>NC_000020.11:28719161-28728874 GCF_000001405.40 Homo sapiens
AGCATTCTGAGAAACTTTTGGTGGTCTGTGCATTCAACTCACAGATTTCAGCCTTTCTTTTGATTGAACAGTTTTGAAACATTCTTTTTGTAATATCTGTAAATGGATATTTGAAGCGGTTTGAGGTCTATCTTGGAAAAGGAAATATCTTCACATATAAACTAGACAGAAGCATTCTGAGAAACTTCTCTGTGATAAGTGCCTTCATCTCACAGAGTTGAACCTTTCTTTTGATTGAGCAGTTTTGAAACACTCTTTTTGTTGTATATGCAAGTGGGTATTTGGAGCGATTTGTGGTCTATGGTGGAAAAGGAAATATCTTCACATAAAAACTAGAAGGAAGCACTCTGAGAAACTTCTTTGTGATGTGTGCATTCATCTCACCAAGCGGAACCATTCTTTTGATGGAGCTGTTTTGAAATACTCTTTTTGTAGAATCTGCAAGTGAATATTTGGAGTGCTTTCAGGCCTGTGGTGGAAAAGGAAATATCTTCACATAAAAACTAGACAGAAGCATTCGGAGAAACTTCTTTTTAGTGTGTGCATTCATCTCACAGTGTTGAAACTTTCTTTTGATTGAGGGTTTTGAAACAGTCTTTTTGATAAATCTGCAAGTGGATATTTGGAGCGAATTGTGGCCTATGGTTTAAAAGGAAATATCTTCACATAAAAGCTAGACAGAAGCCTTCTGAGAAACTTCTTTGTGATGTGTGCGTTCATCTCACTGGGTTGAATCTTTCCTTTCATTGAGCCGTATTGAAACACCCTTTTTGTAGAATCTGAAAGTAGATATTTGGAGCGATTGTGTCCTATGGTAGTAAAGGAAATATTTTCACAGAAAAACTAGACAGAAGCATTCTGCAAAACTTCCTCGTGATGTGTTCACTTATCTCACCAAATTGAACCATTGTTTTCATTGAGCAGATTTGATACACTCTTTTTGTAGAATGTGCAAGTGAATATTTGGAACACTTTGATGAGTATGACGGAAAAGGAAATACCTTCACATATAAACTAGACAGAAGCATTCTGAGAAACTTCTTTCTGATATGTGCATTCAACTCACAGAGTTGAACCTTTCTTTTGATTCAGCAGTTTTGAAACACACTTTTTGAAGGATCTGTAAGTGGATATTTGGAGTGCTTAGGGGTCGATGCTAGAAAGGAAATATCTCCACATAAAAACTTGATGGAAGCATTCTGAGAAACTTCTTTGTGATGTGTGCATTCATCAGAGAGAGTTTAACATTTCTTTTGACTGAGCAGTTTTGAAACTCTCTTTTTGTAGAATCTGCAAGTGGACATTTGGAGCCACTTGAGGCCTATTGTGGAAAAGGGAATAAATTCACATAAAAGCTACACGGAAAGCATTCTGAGAAACTTCTTTGTGATGTGCACATTCATCTCACAGATTTGAAAATTTCTTTTGATTGAGCAGTTTTGAAATGCTCTTTTTGGAGAATTGGCCAGTGGATATTTGGAGCGCTTTGAGGACTATGGTGGAAAAGGAAATATCTTCACATAAAAACTAGAGGAAAACATTCTGAGAAACTTATTTGTGATGTGTGCATTCCTCTCACAGAGTTGAACATTTCTTTTGATTAAGCAGTTTTGAAACACTCTTTTTGTAGAATCTGCTAGAGGATATTTGGAGCACTTTGACGCCTATGGAGGAAAAGGAAATATCTTCACTTAAAAACTAGACAGAAGCATTCTGAGAAACTTCTTTGTGATGTTTGCATTCATCTCACAGGGTTGAAATTTTCTTTTGATTGAGAAGTTTTGAGACACTCTTTTTGTAGAATCTGCCTGTGGATAATAGGAGCGCTTTGGGGCATATTTTGGAAAAGGAAATACCTTCACATAAATAGTAGACAGAAGCATTCTGAGAAACTTCTTTGTGACGTGTGCATATATATCACAGAGTTGAACCTTTCTTTTCATTTAGCCTTTTGAAACACTCTTTTTCTAGAATCTGCAAGTGAATATTTGGAGCGCTTTGCGGCCTATGGTGGAAAATAAATATCTTCACATAAAAACTAGACAGAAGCAATCTGAAAAACTACTTTGTGATGTGTGCATTCATCTCACAGAGGTGAACCTTTCTTTTGATTGAGCAGTTTTGAAACACTCTTTTTGTTGTATATGCAAGTGGATATTTGGAGCGATTTGTGGTCTATGGTGGAAAAGGAAATATCTTCACGTAAAAACTAGACAGAAGCACTCTGAGAAACTTCTTTGTGATGTGTGCATTCATCTCACCAAGCGGAACCATTCTTTTGATGGAGCTGTTTTGAAATACTCTTTTTGTAGAATCTGCAAGTGAATATTTGGAGTGCTTTCAGGCCTGTGGTGGAAAAGGAAATATCTTCACATAAAAACTAGACAGAAGCATTCGGAGAAACTTCTTTTTAGTGTGTGCATTCATCTCACAGTGTTGAAACTTTCTTTTGATTGAGGGTTTTGAAACAGTCTTTTTGATAAATCTGCAAGTGGATATTTGGAGCGAATTGTGGCCTATGGTTTAAAAGGAAATATCTTCACATAAAAGCTAGACAGAAGCTTTCTGAGAAACTTCTTTGTGATATGTGCGTTCATCTCACCGGGTTGAATCTTTCCTTTCATCGAGCAATATTGAAACACCCTTTTTTTTGAATCTGAAATAGATATTTGGAGCGATTGTGTCCTATGGTAGTAAAGGCAATATTTTCACAGAAAAACTAGACAGAAGCATTCTGCAAAACTTCCTCGTGATGTGTTCATTTATCTCACCAAATTGAACCATTCTTTTCCTTGAGCAGATTTGATACACTCTTTTTGTAGAATGTGCAAGTGAATATTTGGAACGCTTTGATGAGTTTGACGGAAAAGGAAATACCTTCACATATAAACGAGACAGAAGCATTCTGAGAAACTTCTTTCTGATATGTGCATTCAACTCACAGAGTTGAACCTTTCTTTTGATTCAGCAGTTTTGAAACACACTTTTTGAAGGATCTGTAAGTGGATATTTGGAGTGCTTAGGGGTCGATGCTAGAAAGGAAATATCTCCACATAAAAACTTGATGGAAGCATTCTGAGAAACTTCTTTGTGATGTGTGCATTCATCAGAGAGAGTTTAACATTTCTTTTGACTGAGCAGTTTTGAAACTCTCTTTTTGTAGAATCTGCAAGTGGACATTTGGAGCCACTTGAGGCCTATTGTGGAAAAGGGAATAAATGCACATAAAAGCTACACGGAAGCATTCTGACAAACTTCTTTGTGATGTGCACATTCATCTCACAGATTGAAAATTTCTTTTGATTGAGCAGTTTTGAAATGCTCTTTTCGGAGAATCAGCCAGTGGATATTTGGAGCACTTTGAGGACTATGGTGGAAAAGGAAATATCTTCACATAAAAACTAGAGGAAACATTCTGAGAAACTTATTTGTGATGTGTGCATTCCTCTCACAGAGTTGAACATTTCTTTTGATTAAGCAGTTTTGAAACACTCTTTTGTGGAATCTGCTAGAGGATATTTGGAGCGCTTTGAGGCCTATGGAGGAAAAGGAAATATCTTCACTTAAAAACTAGACAGAAGCATTCTGAGAAACTTCTTTGTGATGTTTGCATTCATCTCACAGGGTTGAAATTTTCTTTTGATTGAGAAGTTTTGAGACACTCTTTTTGTAGAATCAGCCTGTGGATAATAGGAGCGCTTTGGGGCATATTTTGGAAAAGGAAATACCTTCACATAAATAGTAGACAGAAGCATTCTGAGAAAGTTCTTTGTGACGTGTGCATATATATCACAGAGTTGAACCTTTCTTTTCATTTAGCCTTTTGAAACACTCTTTTTCTAGAATCTGCAAGTGAATATTTGGAGCGCTTTGCAGCCTATGGTGGAAAATAAATATCTTCACATAAAAACTAGACAGAAGCATTCTGAGAAACTTTTGGTGGTCTGTGCATTCAACTCACAGATTTCAGCCTTTCTTTTGATTGAACAGTTTTGAAACACTCTTTTTGTAATATCTGTAAATGGATATTTGCAGCGGTTTGAGGTCTATCTTGGAAAAGGAAATATCTTCACATATAAACTAGACAGAAACACTCTGAGAAACTTCTTTGTGATGTGTGCATTCATCTCACCAAGCTTAACCATTCTTTTGAAGGAGCTGTTTTGAAATACTCTTTTTGTAGAATCTGCAAGTGGATATTTGGAGTGCTTTCAGGCCTGTGGTGGAAAAGGAAATATCTTCACATAAAAACTAGACAGAAGTATTCTGAGAAACTTCTTTGTAATGTGTGCATTCATCTCACAGTGTTGAAACTTTCTTTTGATTGAGGGTTTTGAAACAGTCTTTTTGATGCAACTGCAAGTGGATATTTGGAGCGAATTGTGGCCTATGGTTTAAAAGGAAATATCTTCACATAAAAACTAGACGGAAAGCCTTCTGAGAAACTTCTTTGTGATGTGTGCGTTCATCTCACTGGGTTGAATCTTTCCTTTCATCGAGCAGTATTGAAACACCCTTTTTGTAGAATCTGAAAGTAGATATTTGGAGCGATTGTGTCCTATGGTAGTAAAGGAAATATTTTCACAGAAAAACTAGACAGAAGCATTCTGCAAAACTTCCTCGTGATGTGTTCACTTATCTCACCAAATTGAACCATTGTTTTCATTGAGCAGATTTGATACACTCTTTTTGTAGCATGTGCAAGTGAATATTTGGAACGCTTTGATGAGTATGACGGAAAAGGAAATACCTTCACATATAAACTAGACAGAAGCATTCTGAGAAACTTCTTTCTGATATGTGCATTCAACTCACAGAGTTGAACCTTTCTTTTGATTCAGCAGTTTTGAAACACACTTTTTGAAGGATCTGTAAGTGGATATTTGGAGTGCTTAGGGGTCGATGCTAGAAAGGAAATATCTCCACATAAAAACTTGATGGAAGCATTCTGAGAAACTTCTTTGTGATGTGTGCATTCATCAGAGAGAGTTTAACATTTCTTTTGACTGAGCAGTTTTGAAACTCTCTTTTTGTAGAATCTGCAAGTGGACATTTGGAGCCACTTGAGGCCTATTGTGGAAAAGGGAATAAATGCACATAAAAGCTACACGGAAGCATTCTGACAAACTTCTTTGTGATGTGCACATTCATCTCACAGATTGAAAATTTCTTTTGATTGAGCAGTTTTGAAATGCTCTTTTCGGAGAATCAGCCAGTGGATATTTGGAGCACTTTGAGGACTATGGTGGAAAAGGAAATATCTTCACATAAAAACTAGAGGAAACATTCTGAGAAACTTATTTGTGATGTGTGCATTCCTCTCACAGAGTTGAACATTTCTTTTGATTAAGCAGTTTTGAAACACTCTTTTGTGGAATCTGCTAGAGGATATTTGGAGCGCTTTGAGGCCTATGGAGGAAAAGGAAATATCTTCACTTAAAAACTAGACAGAAGCATTCTGAGAAACTTCTTTGTGATGTTTGCATTCATCTCACAGGGTTGAAATTTTCTTTTGATTGAGAAGTTTTGAGACACTCTTTTTGTAGAATCTGCCTGTGGATAATAGGAGCGCTTTGGGGCATATTTTGGAAAAGGAAATACCTTCACATAAATAGTAGACAGAAGCATTCTGAGAAACTTCTTTGTGACGTGTGCATATATATCACAGAGTTGAACCTTTCTTTTCATTTAGCCTTTTGAAACACTCTTTTTCTAGAATCTGCAAGTGAATATTTGGAGCGCTTTGCGGCCTATGGTGGAAAATAAATATCTTCACATAAAAACTAGACAGAAGCAATCTGAGAAACTACTTTGTGATGTGTGCATTCATCTCACAGAGTTGAACCTTTCTTTTGATTGAGCAGTTTTGAAACACTCTTTTTGTTGTATATGCAAGTGGATATTTGGAGCGATTTGTGGTCTATGGTGGAAAAGGAAATATCTTCACGTAAAAACTAGACAGAAGCACTCTGAGAAACTTCTTTGTGATGTGTGCATTCATCTCACCAAGCGGAACCATTCTTTTGATGGAGCTGTTTTGAAATACTCTTTTTGTAGAATCTGCAAGTGAATATTTGGAGTGCTTTCAGGCCTGTGGTGGAAAAGGAAATATCTTCACATAAAAACTAGACAGAAGCATTCGGAGAAACTTCTTTTTAGTGTGTGCATTCATCTCACAGTGTTGAAACTTTCTTTTGATTGAGGGTTTTGAAACAGTCTTTTTGATAAATCTGCAAGTGGATATTTGGAGCGAATTGTGGCCTATGGTTTAAAAGGAAATATCTTCACATAAAAGCTAGACAGAAGCTTTCTGAGAAACTTCTTTGTGATACGTGCGTTCATCTCACCGGGTTGAATCTTTCCTTTCATCGAGCAATATTGAAACACCCTTTTCTTTGAATCTGAAATAGATATTTGGAGCGATTGTGTCCTATGGTAGTAAAGGCAATATTTTCACAGAAAAACTAGACAGAAGCATTCTGCAAAACTTCCTCGTGATGTGTTCACTTATCTCACCAAATTGACCCATTGTTTTCATTGAGCAGATTTGATACACTCTTTTTGTAGAATGTGCAAGTGAATATTTGGAACTCTTTGATGAGTATGACGGAAAAGGAAATACCTTCACGTACAAACTAGACAGAAGCATTCTGAGAAACTTCTTTCTGATATGTGCATTCAACTCACTGAGTTGAACCTTTCTTTTGATTCAGCAGTTTTGAAACACGCTTTTTGAAGAATCTGTAAGTGGCTATTTGGAGTGCTTAGGGGCCGATGGTGGAATGGAAATATCTCCACATAAAAAACTTGACGGAAGCATTCTGAGAAACTTCTCTGTGATGTGTGCATTCATCAGAGAGAGTTTAACCTTTCTTTTGACTGAGCAGTTTTGAAACTCTCTTTTTGTAGAATCTGCAAGTGGACATTTGGAGCCACTTGAGGCCTATAGTGGAAAAGGGAATATCTTCACATAAAAGCTACACGGAAGCATTCTGAGAAACTTCTTTGTGATGTACAGATTCCTCTCACAGATTTGAAAATTTCTTTTGATTGAGCAGTTTTGAAATGTTCTTTTTGGAGAATCGGCCAGTGGATATTTGGAGCGCTTTGAGGACTATGGTGGAAAAGGAAATATCTTCACATAAAAACTAGAGGAAACATTCTGAGAAACTTATTTGTGATGTGTGCATTCCTCTCACAGAGTTGAACATTTCTTTTGATTAAGCAGTTTTGAAACACTCTTTTTGTAGAATCTGCTAGAGGATATTTGGAGCTCTTTGAGGCCTATGGAGGAAAAGGAAATATCTTCACTTAAAAACTAGACAGAAGCATTCTGATAAACTTCTTTGTGATGTGTGCATTCATCTCACAGAGTTGAACCTTTCTTTTGATTGAGCTGTTTTGAAACACTCTTTTTGAGGAATCTGCAAGTGGATATTTAGAGCGCTTTGAGGCGTATGGTGGAAAATGAAACATCTTCACATAAAAACTAGACAGCAACACTCTGAGAAACTTCTTTGTGATGTGTGCATTCATCTCACCAAGTTGAACCATTCTTTTGATGGAGCTGTTTTGAAATACTCTTTTTGTAGGATCTGCAAGTGGATATTTGGAGTGCTTTCAGGTTCTGTGGTGGAAAAGGAAATATCTTCACATAAAAACTAGACAGAAGTATTCTGAGAAACTTCTTTGTAATGTGTGCATTCATCTCACAGTGTTGAAACTTTCTTTTGATTGAGGGTTTTGAAACAGTCTTTTTGATGAAACTGCAAGTGGATATTTGGAGCGAATTGTGTCCTATGGTTTAAAAGGAAATATCTTCACATAAAAACTAGACAGAAGCCTTCTGAGAAACTTCTTTGTGATGTGTGCGTTCATCTCACTGGGTTGAATCTTTCTTTTCATCGAGCAGTATTGAAACACCCTTTTTGTAGAATCTGAAAGTCGATATTTGGAGCGATTGTGTCCTATGGTAGTAAAGGAAATATTTTCACAGAAAAACTAGACAGAAGCATTCTGCAAAACTTCCTCGTGTTGTTTTCACTTATCTCACCAAATTGAACCATTGTTTTCATTGAGCAGATTTGATACACTCTTTTTGTAGCATGTGCAAGTGAATATTTGGAACGCTTTGATGAGTATGACGGAAAAGGAAATACCTTCACATATAAACTAGACAGAAGCATTCTGAGAAACTTCTTTCTGATATGTGCATTCAACTCACAGAGTTGAACCTTTCTTTTGATTCAGCAGTTTTGAAACACACTTTTTGAAGGATCTGTAAGTGGATATTTGGAGTGCTTAGGGGTCGATGCTAGAAAGGAAATATCTCCACATAAAAACTTGATGGAAGCATTCTGAGAAACTTCTTTGTGATGTGTGCATTCATCAGAGAGAGTTTAACATTTCTTTTGACTGAGCAGTTTTGAAACTCTCTTTTTGTAGAATCTGCAAGTGGACATTTGGAGCCACTTGAGGCCTATTGTGGAAAAGGGAATAAATGCACATAAAAGCTACACGGAAGCATTCTGACAAACTTCTTTGTGATGTGCACATTCATCTCACAGATTGAAAATTTCTTTTGATTGAGCAGTTTTGAAATGCTCTTTTCGGAGAATCAGCCAGTGGATATTTGGAGCACTTTGAGGACTATGGTGGAAAAGGAAATATCTTCACATAAAAACTAGAGGAAACATTCTGAGAAACTTATTTGTGATGTGTGCATTCCTCTCACAGAGTTGAACATTTCTTTTGATTAAGCAGTTTTGAAACACCCTTTTGTGGAATCTGCTAGAGGATATTTGGAGCGCTTTGAGGCCTATGGAGGAAAAGGAAATATCTTCACTTAAAAACTAGACAGAAGCATTCTGAGAAACTTCTTTGTGATGTTTGCATTCATCTCACAGGGTTGAAATTTTCTTTTGATTGAGAAGTTTTGAGACACTCTTTTTGTAGAATCTGCCTGTGGATAATAGGAGCGCTTTGGGGCATATTTTGGAAAAGGAAATACCTTCACATAAATAGTAGACAGAAGCATTCTGAGAAACTTCTTTGTGACGTGTGCATATATATCACAGAGTTGAACCTTTCTTTTCATTTAGCCTTTTGAAACACTCTTTTTCTAGAATCTGCAAGTGAATATTTGGAGCGCTTTGCGGCCTATGGTGGAAAATAAATATCTTCACATAAAAACTAGACAGAAGCAATCTGAGAAACTACTTTGTGATGTGTGCATTCATCTCACAGAGTTGAACCTTTCTTTTGATTGAGCAGTTTTGAAACACTCTTTTTGTTGTATATGCAAGTGGATATTTGGAGCGATTTGTGGTCTATGGTGGAAAAGGAAATATCTTCACGTAAAAACTAGACAGAAACACTCTGAGAAACTTCTTTGTGATGTGTGCATTCATCTCACCAAGTTGAACCATTCTTTTGATGGAGCTGTTTTGAAATACTCTTTTTGTAGGATCTGCAAGTGGATATTTGGAGTGCTTTCAGGTCTGTGGTGGAAAAGGAAATATCTTCACATAAAAACTAGACAGAAGTATTCTGAGAAACTTCTTTGTAATGTGTGCATTCATCTCACAGTGTTGAAACTTTCTTTTGATTGAGGGTTTTGAAACAGTCTTTTTGATACAACTGCAAGTGGATATTTGGAGCGAATTGTGGCCTATGGTTTAAAAGGAAATATCTTCACATAAAAACTAGACAGA
>NC_000020.11:28728974-28751119 GCF_000001405.40 Homo sapiens
TGATCTTCACATAAAAACTAGATAGAAGATTTCTGAGAAACTTTTTTGTGATATGTGCATTCATCTCACAGAGTTTAACCATTCTTTTGATTGAGAGGTTTGGTAACAGTCTTTTTGTAGAATCTACAAAAGGATATTTGTGAGCACTTTGAAACCTGAGGTGAAAAAGGAAAAATCTTCACAGAAAAACTAGAAAGATGGTTTCTGAGAAAGTGCTCTGTGATGTTTGAATTCATCTCACAGACTTGAACCTTTCTATTGATTTAGCATATTGGTAACAGTCTTTTTGTAGAATCTGCAAAGGGATATTTGGGTACACTTGGAGGCCAATGGTGAGAAAGGAAATATCTTCACATGAATACTAGACAGAAGCTTTCTGAGACACTTCTGTTTTATGTGTGCATTCCTTTCAAACAGTTGAAACATTCTTTTGATTGAGCAGTTTGGAAACAGTCTTTTTGAAGAATCAGCAAAGGGATATTTGTGAGCGCTTTGAGTCCTATGGGGAAAAAGGAAATATTTTCACATAAAAACTATACAGAATGTTTCTGAGAAACTGCTTTGTTATGTGTGCATTCATCTCACAGAGGTAAATGTTTCTTTTCATTGAGTAGATGGGAAACTCTTTTCTTGTAGAATCTGCAAAGGGATATTTGTGAGCGCTTTGAGGCTTATGGTGAAAAAGAAAATATCTTCATATAAAATGTACACAGAAGCTTTCTGAGGAACTTATTTGTGATTTATGCATTCATCTCATAGAGTTGAACCATTCTTTTTTTTGGAGCTCTGGGTTTATGTTTTAATTATTTACTTTTATTATTATTATAATTTAAGTTTTAGGGAACGTGTACAACGTGCAGGATTGTTACATATGTATACATGTGCCATGTTTGTGTGTTGCTCCCATGAACTCATCATTTAGCATTAGGTATATTTCCTAATGCTATCCCTCCCCCTCCCCCTCCTCCCACCCGACTACAATCCCTGTTGTGTGGTGTGTGGTGTGTGATGTTTCCCTTCCTGTGTCCATGTGTTCTCTTTGATCAATTCCCAACTATGAGTGAGAACATGTGGTGTTTTATTTTTTATCCTTGTGATAGTTCGCTGAGAATGATGGTTTCCAGCTTCATCCATGTCCCTACAAAGGACATGAACTCATCATTTTTTATGGCCGCATAGTGTTCCATGATGTATATGTGCCACATTTTCTTCATCCAGTCTATCGTTGTTGGACATTTACGTTGGTTCCAAGTCTTTGCTATTGTGAATAGTGCCGCTATAAACATACGTGTGCATGTGTCTTTATGGCAGCATGATTTATAATCCTTTGGGTATATATACCCAGTAATGGGATGGCTGGGTCAAGTGGTATTTCTAGTTCTAGATCCCTGAGGAATCGCCATACCGACTTCCACAATGGTTGAACTAGTTTACAGTCCCACCAACAGTGCAAAAGTGTTCCTATTTCTCACATCCTCTCCAGCACCTGTTGTTTCCTGACTTTTTAATGATTGCCATTCTAACTGGTGTGAGATGGTATCTCATTGTGATTTTGACTTGCATTTCTCTGATGGCCAGTGAAGATGAGCATTTTTTCATTTGTTCATTGGCTGCGTAAATGTCTTCTTTTGAGAAATGTCTGTTCATATCCTTCGCCCACTTTTTGATGGGGTTGTTTGTTTTTTTTCCTGTAAATTTGCCTGAGTTCATTGTAGATTCTGAATATTAGCCATTTGTCAGATGAGTAGGTTTCAAAATTTTTCTCCCATTCTATAGGATTCCTGTTCACTCTGATGGTGGTTTTTTTGCTGTGCAGAAGCTCCTTAGTTTAATGAGAAACAATTTGTCAATTGTGGCTTTTGTTACCATTGCTTTAGGTGTTTTAGATATGAAGACCTTGCCCATGCCTATGTCCTGAATGTTGTTGCCTAGGTTTTCTTCTAGAGATTTTATGTGATGCCTTCTTTTGATTAATCAGTTTGCATACTCTGTTGTTGTAGAATCTGCAAGGAGATATTTGTGAGTGCTTTGAGGCCTTTGGTGAAAAAGGAAATACCTTCACATAATAAATAGACAGAAGTTCTCTGAGAAACCTCCCTGTCATGTGTGCATTCATCTCACAGAGTTGAAACAGTCTTTTGACTGAACAGTTTGAAAACTGCCGATTTGTAGAAACTGCAATGGGATATTTGTGAGCCCTTTGAGGCCTATGGTGAGAAAGGAAATATCTTCACATAAAAACTAGACAGAAGATTTCTGAGAAACCTCTTTGTGATGTGTGCATTCATCTCACAGAGTTGAACCATTCTCTTAATTGAGCAGTTTGTAAACAGACTTTTTGTAGAATCTGAAAAGGGATATTTTTCAGCTCTAGGAGGCCTATGGTGAAAAAGGAAACATCTTCAATAAAAACTATAAAGAATGTTTCTGAGAAGCTGTTTTGCAAGGTGTGCACTCGTCTCAGAGAGATAAAAGTTTCTATTCCTTGATGAGTCTGGAAACTCTGTTCTTGTAAAATCTGCAAAGGGATATTTGTGAGTGGCTTGAGGCCTATGGTAAAAAAGGAAACGTCTTCACATAAAAACTACACAGAAGATTTCAGAGAAACTTCTTTGTGATATATGCATTCATTTCACAGAGTTGAACCATTCTTTTGATTGAGAAGTTTGGAAACAGTCTTTTCTGAGAATCTGCAAAGGGATATTTTGAGCTCTTTGGTAGGCATGGTGAAAAGGGAAATATCGTCACATAAAAAGTGGACAGAAGCTTTTGGAGAAACTTCTTTGTGATGTGTGCATTCATCTCACAGATTTGAACCTTTCTTTTGATTGAGCAGTTTGAAAAGAGTCCTTTTCTAGAATCTGCAGAGGGATATTTGTGAGCCCTTTATGGCCTAAGGTGAAGTAGGAAATATCTTCACATAAAAATTAGACAGAAGCATTCTGAGAAACTTCTTCATGAAGTGTGCTTTCATTTCACAGAGTTGAACCTCTCTTTTGATTGAGGAGTTTGGAAAGAGACTTTTTGTACAATATGCAAATGGATATTTGGAGCACTTTGACGCCTATGGTGAAAAAGGAAATATCTTCACCTAAAAACTAGACAGAAGCATTCTGAGAAACTTCTTTGTGATGTATGCATTCATCTCACAGAGTTGAAACTTTCTTCTGATTGAGCAGTTTCAAAACAGACCTTTTTTAGATTCTGCAAAGGGATATTTGTGAGCCCATTGAGGCCTATGGTGAAATAGGAAATATCTTCACATAAAAACTAGTCAGAAGATTTCTGAGAAACTTATTTGTGATGTGTGCTTTTATCTCACAGAGTTGAACGTTTCTTTTGATTGAGCAGTTTGGAAACACACTTTTTGTAGAATCTGCAAATGGATATTTGGAGCACTTTGAGGACTATGGTGAAAAAGGAAATATCTTCACATAAAAACTAGAAAGCAACATTCTATGAAACTTCTTTGTGATGTGTGCTTTCATCTCACAGAGTTGAACCCTTCTATTCATTGAACAGTTTGGAAACGATCTTTTTGTAGCATCTGCAAATGGATATTTGGAGTGGTTGTAGGCCTTGGTGAGAAAGGAAATATCTTCACGTAAAAACTAGACAGAAGGATTCTGAGAAACTCCTTTGTGACATGTGCATTTATAACACAGAGTTGATCCCTTCTTTTGATTAAACAGTTTGGTAACAGTCTCTTTGTAGTATCTGTAGAGGGATGTTTGCGAGCAGTTTGAGGCCTACGGTGAACAAAGAAATATCTTCACATAAAAACTAGACAGAAGTATTCTGAGAAACATCTTTGTCTTGTGTCGATTCATCTCACAGAGTTGAACCTTTCTTTGGATTGAGCAGCTTGGAAACAATCCTTTTGTAGAATCTGCAAAGGTATATTTCTGAGACCATTGAGGCCTATGGTGAAATATGAAATATCTTCCCATAAAAACTAGACAGAAGGTTTCTAAGAAACGTTTTGTGGTGTGTGCTTCCATCTCACAGAGTTGAACCTTTCTTTTGATTGAGAAGTTTGGAAACCATCTTTTTGGAGAATCTGCAAATGGATATTTGGAGTGCTTTGAGGCCCATGGTAGAAAGGGAAATATCATTACATAAAAATTCGATGGAAGCATTCTGAGAAACTTCTTTGTGAGGTTTTCATTCATCTCACACAGTTGAACATTTATTTGATTGAAGATTTGGAAACAGTCTTTTTGTAAAATCTACAAAGGGATAATTGTGAACCCTTTGAGGCCTATGGTGAAGTAGGAAATATCTTCACATAAAAACTACACAGAAACTTTCTGAGAAACTTTTTTCTGATGCGTGCATTCATCTAACAGAGTTGAACCTTTCCTTTGCTAGAGCAGTTTGGAAACAGTCCTATTGTAGAATCCCCAAAGGGATATTTCTCAGCCGATTGAGGTCTTTGGTGATATAGGAAATACCTTCACATAAAAGCTAGACAGAAGCTTTTTGAGAAACTTATATTTAATGAGTGCTTTCATCTCAAAGAGTTAAGCATTTCTTTTGACTGAGCAGTTTGGAAACACTCTTTTTGCAGAATCTGCAAATGGATAATTTGAGCGTTTTGAGGCCTATGGTGAAAAAGGAAATATCTTCACATAAAAACTAAACAGAAGCTTTCTGAGAAACTACTTTGTAATGAGTGCATTCATCTCACAGTGTCGAAACCTTCTTTTGATTGGGCAGTTTGTAAACAGTCTTTTTGTAGAATCTGCAAATGGATATTTGGAGTGCTTTGAGTTCTATGGTGAAAAAGGAAATATCTTCATAAAAAAACCAGAAAGAAACATTCTGAGAAACTTCTTTGTGATATGTGCTTTCATCTCACAGAGTTGAACCTTTCTTTTCATTGAGCAGTTTCGAAACAGATTTTTTATAGAATCTGGAAATGCATATTTGGAGGGCTTTGAAGCCTGCGGTGAAAAAGGAAATATCTTCAGATAAACACTAAACAGAAGCTTTCTGAGAAACTTCTTTGTGATGCATGCATTCATATCACAGAGCTGAAACTTTCTTTTGATTTAGCATTTTGTAAACAGTCCTTTGGTAGAATCTGCAAATGGATACTTCGAGCATGTTGAGGCCTATGGTGAAAAAGGAAATATCTTCACAAAAAAACTAGAAAGATACATTCTAGGAAACTTCTTTGTGATGTGTGCTTTCACCTCACAGAGTTGAAACTTCCTTTTTATTGAGCAATTTCGACACAGTCTTTTTGTGGAATCTGCAAATGGATATTTGGAGCACTTTGAGGCCTATGGTGAAAAAGGAAATATCTCACATGAACCCTAGACAGAAGTATTCTGAGAAACTTCTTTGTCTTGTGTCCATTCATCTCACAGAGTTGAACCTTTCTTTGGATTGAGCAGTTTGGAAACAGTCTTTTTGTAGAATCTAAACTAGACAGAAGCATTCTGAGAAACTTCTTTGTGATGTGTGCTTTCAACACACAGAGTTGTACCTTTCTTTTGATTGAGCAATTTGGAAAGAGTCTTTTTGTGGAATCAGCAAATGGATGTTTGGAGCACTTTGAGGCCTATGGTGAAAAAGGAAATACCTTCACATAAAAAATAGACAGAAGCATTGGGAGAAACATCTCGTGATGTGTGAATTCATTTCATACAGTTGAATCCTTCTTTGATTGAGGAGTTTGGAAACAGTCTTTTTATGGAATCAGCAAATGGATGTTTGGAACACTTTGAAGCCTATGGTGAGAAAGGAAATACCTTCACATATAAAATAGACAGAAGGATTTTGAGAGAACATCTATGTGATGTGTGCATTCATCTCATAGAGTTGAACCTTTCTTTGATTGAGCCGTTTGGAAACAGTCCTTTTGTGGAATCTGCAAAGGGATATTTCTGAGCCCATTGAAGCCTAGGGTGAAAAAGAAATGTCTTCACATAAAAACTAGACAAAAGCATTCTGATAAACTATTTTGTGATGTGTCCATTCATCTCACAGAGTTGAAACTTTCTTTGGATTGAGCAGTTTGGAAACAGTCTTTTTGTAGAATTTGCAAAAAATATTTGTTAGCGCTATATGGCCCATGGTGAAATAGGAAATACCTTCACATAAAAACTAGACAGAAGCTTTCTGAGAAACTTCTTTCTGATGTTTGCTTCCGTGTCACAGGGTTGAACCTTTCTTTTGATTGAGCAGTTTGGAAACACTCTTTTTGTAGAATCTACAAATGGGTATTTTGAGTGCTTTGAGGCCTATGGTGAAAAAAGAAATATCTTCACAGAAAAACTAGACATATGTATTCTGCAAAACTTCTTTGTGATGTGTCTATTAATCTCACAGAGTTGAATCTTTCTTTGGATTCAGCAGTTTTCTAAACAGTCCTTTTGTAGAATCTGCAAAGGGATATTTCTGAGCCCACTGAGTCCTATGCTGAAAAAGGAAATATCTTCACATAAAAACCTAAAAACCAGACAGAAGCATTCTGAGAAACCTCTTTCTGATGTGTGCATTCATCTCACACAGTTGAACCTTTCTGTAGTTTGAACAGTTTGGAAACAGTCTTTTTTTTTTGAATATGCAAATGGATATTTGTGAACCCTTTACAGCCTATGGTGAAATAGGAAATATCTTCACATAAAAACCAGACAGAAGCATTCTGAAAAACTTCTTTGTGATGTGTGTACTCATCTCACAGAGTTGAACATTTCTTTGGATGCAGCAGTTTGGAAACAGTCTTTTTGCAGTATCTGCAGAGGGATATTCATGAGCAGTTTAAGGCCTATGGTTAAAAAGGATATATCTTCACAGAAAACCTCGGCAGATCCATTGTGAGAAACTTCTTTGAAATGTGTGCATTCATCTCACAGATTTGAACCTTTCTTTGGATTGAGCAGTTTTCAAAACAGACCTTTTGCAGAATCTACAAAGGGATACTTCTGAGCCCATTGAGGCCTATGGTGAAAAAGGATATATCTTCACATGAAATCTTAACAGAAGCTTTCTGAGAGACTTCTTTGGATGTGTGCATTCATCTCACAGTGTTGAAACTTTCTTTTGATTGAGCAGTTTTGAAACAGTCTTTTTGTACAATCTGCAAAGGGATACTTCTGAGCCATTTGAGGCTTATTGTGAGAGAAGTATCTTCATATAAAAACTAGACAAAAGCATTCTAAGAAACTTCTTTGTAATGTGTGAATTCATCACACAGAGTTGAAACTTTCTTTTGATTGAGCAGTTTGGAGACAGTCTTTTTGTATAATATGCAAAAGGATATTTGTGAGCCCTTTCAGGCCTATGGTGAAATAGGGAATATCTTCACAAAACTAACTTGACAGAAGCTTTCTGAGAAAATTCTTTGTGATGTGTACCTTCATCTCACAGAGTTGAACTTTTCTTTTGATTGAGCAGTTTAGAAACAGTCTTTTTGTCGAATCTGAAGATGGATATTTGCAGTGTTTCAGGTCTATGGTGAACAGGAAATTTCTTTACATAAAAACTAGACAGAAGTATTCTGAGAAACTTCTTTGTGATGTATGCATTCATGTCACAGAGTTGAAACTTTCCTTGGATTGAGCAGTTTGGAAAGAGTCCTTTTGTAGAATCTGCAAAGGGATGTTTGTGAGCACATTGGAGCCTATGGTGAAATAGGAAATGTCTTCACATAAAAACTAGACAGAAGAACAAGAGCCAAGATGGCCGAACAGGAACAGCTCCGGTCTACAGCTCCCAGCCTGAGTGACACAGAAGACAGATGATTTCTGCATTTCCATCTGAGGTACCGGGTTCATCTCACTAGGGAGTGCCAGACAGTGGGCGCAGGTCAGTGGGTGCATGCACCGTGCACGAGCACAAGCAGGGTGAGGCATTGCCTCACTCGAGAAGCACAAGGGGTCAGGGAGTTCCCTTTCCTAATCAAAGAAAGGGGTGACGGATGGCACCTGGAAAATCGGGTCACACCCACCCAAATACTGCGCTTTTCCGATGGGCTTAAAAAACGGTGCACCACTAGATTATATCCCACACCTGGCTCGGAGGGTCCTACCACACGGAGTCTCACTGATTGCTAGCATAGCAGTCTGAGATCAAACTGCAAGGAGGCAGCGATGCTGGTGGAGGGGCGTGCACCATTGCCCATGCTTGCTTAGGTAAACAAAGCAGCCAGGAAGCTGGAACTGGGTGGAGCCCACCACAGCTCAAGGAGGCCTGCCTGCCTCTGTAGGCTCCACCTTTGGGGCAGGGCACAGACAAACAAAAAGACAGCAGTAACCTCTGCAGACTTAAATGTCTCTGTCTGACAGCTTTGAACAGAGCCGTGGTTCTCCCAGTACACAGGTGGAGATCTGAGAACTGGCAGACTGCCTCCTCAAATGGGTCCCTGCACCCTGACCCCTGAACAGCCTAACTGGGAGGCACCGTCCAGCAGGGGCACACTGACACCTCACACTGCAGGGTACTCCAACAGACCTGCAGCTGAGGGTCCTGTCTGTTAGAAGGAAAACTAACAAACAGAAAGGACATCCACACCAAAAACCCAACTGTACATCACCATCATCAAAGACCAAAAGTAGATAAAACCACAAAGATGGGGAAAAAACAGAACAGAAAAAATGGAAACTCTAGAAATCAGAGCGCCTCTCCTCCTCCAAAGGAAGGCAGCTCCTCACCACCAACGGAACAAAGCTGGTCGGAGAATGACTTTGACGAGCTGAGAGAAGAAGGCTTCAGATGATCAAATTAATCTGAGCTATGGGAGGACATTCAAACCAAAGGCAAAGAAGATGAAAACTTTGAAAAAATTTAGAAGAATGTATAACTGGAATAACCAATACAGAGAAGTGCTTAAAGGAGCTGATGGAGCTGAAAACCAAGGCTCAAGATCTAAGTGAAGAATGCAGAAGCCTCAGGAGCCGATGCAATCAACTGGAAGAAAGGATATCAGCGATGGAAGATGAAATGAATGAAATGAAGTGAGAAGGAGAGTTTAGAGGATAAAGAATAAAAAGAAATGAGCAAAGCCTACAAGAAATATGGGACTATGTGAAAAGACCAAATCTACGTCTGATTGGTGTACCTGAAAGTGATGGGGAGAATGGAACCAAGTTGGAAAACACTCTACAGGATATTATCCAGGAGAATTTCCCCAATCTAGCAAGGCAGGCCAACGTTCAGATTCAGGAAATACAGAGAACACCGAAAAGATACTCCTCGAGAATAGCAACTCCAAGACACATAATTGTCAGATTCACCAAAGTTGAAATGAAGGAAAAAATGTTAAGGGCAGCCAGAGAGAAAGGTCGGGTTACACTGAAAGGGAAGCCCATCAGACTAACAGCAGATCTCTCAGCAGAAACCCTACAAGCCAGAAGAGAGTGGGGGCCAATATACAACATTCTTAAAGAAAAGAATTTTCAATCCAGAATTTCATATCCAGCCAAACTAAGCTTCATAAGTGAAGGAGAAATAAAATACTTTACAGAGAAGCAAATGCTGAGAGATTTTGTCACACCAGGCCTGCCCTAAAAGAGCTCCTGAAGGAAGCGCTAAACATGGAAAGGAACAACCAGTACCAGCCACTGCAAAATCAAGCCAAAATGTAAAGACCATTGAGACTAGGAAGAAACTGCATCAACTAACGAGCAAAATAACCAGCTAACATCATAATGACAGGATCAAATTCACATATAACACTATTAACTTTAAATGTAAATGGACTAAATGCTCCAGTTAAAAGACATAGACTGGCAAATTTATAAAGAGTCAAGACCCATCAGTGTGCTGTATTCAGGAAACCCATCTCACTTGCAGAGACACAAATAGGCTCAAAATAAAAGGATGGAGGAAGATCTACCAAGCAAATGGAAAACAAAAAAAAAGGCAGGGGTTGCAATCCTAGTCTCTGATAAAACAGACTTTAAGCCAACAAAGATCAAAAGAGACAAAGAAGGCCATTACATAATGGTAAAGGGATCAATTCCACAAGAAGAGCTAACTATCCTAAATATATATGCACCCAATACAGGAGCACCAAGATTCATAAAGCAAGTCCTGAGTGACCTACAAAGAGACTTAGACTCCCACACATTAATAATGGGGGACTTTAACACCCCACTGTCAACATTAGACAGATCAATGAGACAGAAAGTCAACAAGGATACCCAGGAATTGAACTCAGCTCTGCACCAAGTGGACCTAATAGACATCTACAGAACTCTCCATCCCAAATCAACAGAATATATATTTTTTTCAGGAACACACCACACCTATTCCAAAATTGACCACATAATTGGAAGTAAAGCTCTCCTCAGCAAATGTAAAAGAATAGAAATTATAACAAACTATCTCTCAGACCACAGAGCAATCAAACTAGAACTCAGGATTAAGAGTCTCACTCAAAACCGCTCAACTACATGGAAACTGAACAACCTGCTCCTGAATGACTACTGGGTGCATAACAAAATTAAGGCAGAAATAAAGATGTTCTTTGAAACCAACGAGAACAAAGGCACAACATACCAGAATCTCTGGGACGCATTCAAAGCAGTGTGTAGAGGGAAATTTATAGCACTGCTGGTTTTTTGAAAGGATCAACAAAATTGATAGACTGCTAGCAAGACTAATAAAGAAAAAAAGAGAGAAGAATCAAATAGATGCAATAAAAAATGATAAAGGGGATATCACCACCAATCCCACAGAAATACAAACTATCATCAGAGAATACTACAAACCCTTCTATGCAAATAAACTAGAAAATCTAGAAGAAATGGATACATTCCTTGACACATAGACTCTCCCAAGACTAAACCAGGAAGAAGATAAATCTCTGAATAGACCAATAACAGGATCTGAAATTGTGGCAATATTCAATATCTTACCAACCAAAAAGAGTCCAGGACCAGATGGATTCACAGCCTAATTCTAGTAGAGGTACAAGGAGGAACTGGTACCATTCCTTCTGAAACTATTCCATGAATAGAAGAAGAGGGAATCCTCCCTAACTCATTTTATGAGGCCAGCATCATCCTGATACCAAAGCCGGGTAGAGACTCAACCCAAAAAAGAGAATTTTAGACCAAAATCTTTGATGAACATTGATGCAATAATCCTCAATAAAATACTGGCAAACCGAATCCAGCAGCACATCAAAGAGCTGATCCACCATGATCAAGGGGGCTTCATCCCTGGGATGCAAGGCTGTTTCAATATATGCAAATCAATAAATGTAATCCAGCATATAAACAGAGCCAAAGACAAAAACCATATGATCATCTCAATAGATGCAGAAAAGGCCTTTGACAAAATTCAACAATCCTTCATTCTAAAAACTCTCAATAAATTAGGTATTGATGGATCATATTTCAAAATAATGAGAGCTATCTATGACAAACCCACAGCCAATATCATACTGAATGGGCAAAAACTGGAAGCATTCACTTTGAAAACTGGCACAAGACAGGGATGCCCTCTCTCACCACTCCTATTCAACATAGTGTTGGAATTTCTGGCCAGGGCAATTAGGCAGGAGAAGGAAATAAAGGGTATTCAATTAAGAAAAGAGGAAGTCAAATTGTCCCTGTTTGCAGATGACGTGATTGTATATCTAGAAAACCCCATTGTCTCAGCCGAAAATCTCCTTAAGCTGATAAGCAACTTCAGCAAAGTCTCAGGATACAAAATCATTGTGCAAAAATCACAAGCATTCCTATACACCAACAACAGACAGAGAGTCAAATCATGAGTGAACTCCCATTCACAATTGCTTCAAAGAGAATAAAATACCTAGGAATTCAACTTACAAGGGATGTGAAGGACCTCTTCAAGGAGAACTACAAACCGCTGCTCAAGGAAATAAAAGAGGATACAAACAAATGGAAGAACATTCCATGCTCATGGGTAGGAAGAATCAATATCGTGAAAATGGCCATACTGCCCAAGGTAATTTACAGATTCAATGCCATCCCCATCAAGCTACCAATGCCTTTCTTCACAGCATTGGAAAAAACTACTTTAAATTTCATATGGAACCAAAAAAGAGCCCACATCGCCAAGTCAATCCTAAGCCAAAAGAGCAAAGCTGGAGGCATCACACTACCTGACTTCAAACTACACTACAAGGTTACAGTAACCAAAACAGCATGGTACTTGTACCACAACAGAGATATAGATCAATGGAACAGAACAGAGCCCTCAGAAATAATGCCGTGTATCTACAACTATCTGATCTTTGACAAACCTGAGAAAAACAAGCAATGGGGAAAGTATTCCCTATTTAATAAATGGTGCTGGGAAAATTGGCTAGCCATATGTAGAAAGCTGAAACTGGATCCCTTCCTTACACCTTATACAAAAATTAATTCAAGACGGATTAAAGACTTAAACTTTGGACCTAAAGCCATAAAAACCCTAGAAGAAAACCTAGGCATTACCATTCAGGACATAGGCATGGGCAAGGACTTCATGTCTAAAACACCAAAAGCAATGGCAGCAAAAGCCAAAATTGACAAAGGGATCTAATGAAACTAAAGAGCTTCTGCACAGCAAAAGAAACTACCATCAGAGTGAACAGACAACCTACAAAATGGGAGAAAATTTTTGCAACCTACTCATCTGACAAAGGGCTAATATCCAGAATCTACAATAAACTCAAACAAATTTACAAGAAAAAAACAAACAACCCCATCAAAAAGTGGGAGAAGGATATGAAAAGACACTTCTCAAAAGAAGACATTTATGCAGCCAAAAAACACATGAAAAAATGCTCACCATCACTGGCCATCAGAGAAATGCAAATCAAAACCACAATGATATACCATCTCACACCAGTTAGAATGGCGATCATTGAAAAGTCAGGAAACAACAGGTGCTGGAGAGGATGTGGAAAAATAGGAATACTTTTACACTGTTGGTGGGACTGTAAACTAGTTCAACCATTGTGGAAGTCAGTGTGGCGATTCCTCAGGGATCTAGAACTAGAAATACCATTTGACCCAGCCATCCCATTACTGGGTATATACCCAAAGGACCATAAATCATGCTGCTATAAAGACACATTCACACGTATGTTTATTGCGGCATTATTCACATTAGCAAAGACTTGGAACCAACCCAAATGTCCAACAATGATAGACTGGATTAAGAAAATGTGGCACATATACACCATGGAATACTATGCAGCCATAAAAAATGATGAGTTCATGTCCTTTGTAGGGACATAGATGAAATTGGAAATCATCATTCTCAGTAAACTATCTCAAGAACAAAAAACCAAACACCACGTATTCTCAGTTATAGGAGGGAATTGAACAATGAGAACACATGGACACAGGAAGGGGAACATCACACTCTGGGGACTGTTGTGGGGTAGGGGGAGGGGGTGATATAGCATTTGGAGATATACCTAATGCTAGATGACGAGTTAGTGGGTGCCGCACACCAGCATGGCACATGTATACGTATGTAAATAACCTGCACAATGTGCACATGTACCCTAAAACTTAAAGTATAATAATAAATAAATAAATAAATAAATAAATAGACAGAAGCTTTCGGTAAATCTTCTTTGTGCTGTGTGCTTTCACCTCACAGAGTTGAACCTCTCTTTTGATTGGGCAGTTTGGAAACACTCTTTTTGTAGAACTTGCAAACGGATATTTGGAGTGCTTTGAGGCCTATGGTGAAAAAGAAAATATCTGCAAATTAAAACTTGATGGAAACTTTCTGAGAAACTTCTTTGTGATGTGTGCTTTCATCTCACAGAGTTGGACCTTGTTTTCATTGAGCAGTTTGGAAACAAGTCATTTTGTAGAATCTGCAAAGGGATATATGTGGGTGGTTTGAAGCCTATAGTGAAAAAGTAAATATCTTCACCTAAAACCTAGACAGAAGCATTTTGAGAAAACTCTTTGTGATGTTTGCATTCATCTCACTGAGTTGAAACTTTCTATTCATTGAGTAGTGTGGAATCATACTTTTTGTGCAATCTGCAAAGAAATATTTGTTTGCGGTTTGAGACCTATGGTGAAAAAGTAATATCTTCACATAAAAACTAGACAGAAGCATTCTGAGAAACTAATTTTTTAATGTGTGCATTGATCTCACAGAGTTGAACCTTTCTTTTGATGAGGCAGTTTGGAAACAGTTTTTTGTAGAATCTGAAAAGGGATATTTTTTATCTCTTTGAGGCCTAAGGTGAAGTAGGAAATATCTTCACATAAAAACTAGAAAGATACTTTCTGAGAAACTTCTTTGTGACGTGGGCTTTCATCTCACAGATCTGAACCTTTATTTTGATTGAGCAGTTTGGAAAGAGTCTTTTTTAGTATCTGCAGTGGGCTATTAGTGAGTGGACTGAGGCCTATGGTGAAAAAGGAAATGGCTTCTCAAAAAAAGTATACAGAATCATTCTGAGAGACTTCTTTGTAATGTGTGCATTCATCTTACAGTGTTAAACCTTTCTTTTGATTGAGCTTTTTGGAAACACTCTTTTTGTAGCATCTGCAAGAGTATACTTCTGAGCCCATTGAGACCTATTGAAATATGAAATATCTTCACATAAAAACTAGATAGAAGGTTTCTAAGAAACTCCTTTGTGAAGTGTGCTTTAGTCTCACAGAATTGAAACTTTCTTGTGATTAAGCAGTTTGAAAACACTCTTTTTGTAGATTCTGCAGGTGGATATTTGGAGCGCTTTGAGGCCCATGATGAAAAAAGAAATATCTTCACATAAAAACTAAACAGAAGTTTTCTGAGAAACTTCTTTGTGATGTGTGCATTCATCACACAGAGTTGAACCGTTCTTTTGATTGAGCAATTTGGAAAAAGTCTTTTCATAGAATCTGCAAATGGATATTTGGAGCACTTTGAGGCCTATGGTGAAAAACGAAACTTCTTCACATAAAACAAGACAAAAGCATTCTGAGAAACTTCTTTGTGATGTGTGACAAAGTTTAACCTTTCTTTTCATTGAACAGTTTGCAAGCAGTCTTTTTGGAGTATCTGCAAAGGGATATTTGTTAGCGGTTTGTGGCCTATGGTGAAAAAGGAAATACCTTCACATAAAAACCAGACAGAAGCTTTTTGAGAAACCTCTTTGTGATGTTTGCATTCATTTCACAGAGTCGAATCTTCCTTTTTCATTGAGCAGTTTGGAAACAGTCTTTTTGCACAATCTGTAAAAGGATATTTCTGAGTGGTTTGAGGCCTGTGGTGAAAAAGAAATATCTTCATATAAAAATTAGACAGAAGCATTCTGGGAAACTTCTTTGTGATGTGTGCATTCAACCCACAGAGTTGAAGCTTTCATTTCATTGAGTAGTTCAGAAACAGTCTTTTCATAGAATCTGCAAAGGGATATTTCTGAGTCCTTTGAGGCCTATGGTGAAATAGGAAATATCTTCACATAAAAACTAGACAGAAGCTTTCTGAGAAACTTCTTTGTGATGCGTGCTTTCATCTCACAGAGTTGAACCCTTTTTTTGATGGAGCAGTTTGGATACAGTCATTTTGTAGAGTCTGCAAAGGGATATTTCTGAGTCCTTTGAGTACTATAGTGAAATAGGGAATATTTTCACATAATAACTAGACAGAAGCATTCTGAGAAACTTCCTTGTGTTGTGTGCTTTCATTTCACAGAGTTGAAACTTTCCTTTGATTGAGCAGTTTGAAACACTCTTTTTGTAGAACCTGTAGACACATATTTGGAGCACTTTGAGGCATAAGGAGAAAAAGGAAGTATCTGCACACAATAACTAGATAGAAACTTTCTGAGAAACTTCTTCATGATGCGTGCTTTCATCTCACAGATTCAAACTTTCTTTTCATTGAGCAGTTTGGGAACAAGTCATTTTGTATAATCTGCAAAGGTATATTTGTGAGCTGTTTGAGGCCTATTGTGAAAAACTAAATATCTTCACATGAAAACCAGGCAGAAGCTTTTTGAGATAACTCTTTGTGATATTTGCATTCATCTCAAAGAGTTGAACCTTTCTGTTCATTGAGGAGTTTGGAAACGTTCTTTTTGTGCAAACTGAAAAGGAATATTTCTGAGTGGTTTGAGGCCTATGGTGAAAAAGAAATAACTTCACATAAAAACTAGACATAAGCATTCTGAGAAATTTCTTTTTTATCTGTGCATTCACCTCACAGAGTTGAAACTTTCTTTTCATTGAGCAGTTCAGAAACAGTCTTTTTGTAGAATCTGCAAAGGGATATTTTTGATCCCATTGAGGCCTATGGTGAAATAGGAAATATCTTCACATAAATACTAGACAGAGCTTTCTGAGAAACTTGTTTGTGATGTGTGCTTTCATCCTACAGAGTTGAACCCTTCTGTTGATTGATCACTTTGGAAACAGTCTTTGGAAGAATCTACAAATGGATATTTGGAGAGCTTTGACTCCTATGTTTAAAAAGGAAATATATTCACATAAAAACTAGACAGAAGCATTTTGAGAAACCTCTTTGTGATGCATGCTTTCATTTCACAGAGTTGAATCATTCTTTTGACTGAGCAGCTTGGAAACAGTCTTTTTGTACAATCTGCAAAGGGATATTTCTGAGCCAATTGAGGCCTATGGTGAAAATGAAATATCTGCACATAAAAACTAGACAGAAGCATTCTGAGAAACTTCTTTGTGATGTGTCCATTCACGTCACAGAGTTGAACCTTTCTTTTGATTGAGCAGTTTGGAAACAGTCGTTTTGTAGAATCTGCAAAGGGATATTTGTGAGCCCTTTATGGCCTGTGGTGAAATACGAAATATCTTCACATAAAAACTAGACAGAAGATTTCTGAGAAACTTCTTTGTGATGTGTGCCTTCATCTCACAGTGTTGAACCTTTCTTTTGATTGAGCAGTTTGGAAAGTCTTTTAGTAGAATCTGCAAATGGATATTTGGAGATATTTGAGGCCCGTGGTGAAAAAGGGAGTATCTTCACATAAAAACTAGACAGAAGATTTCTGAAAAACTTCTTTGTGATGTGTGAATTCATGTCACATAATTCAACCTTTCTTTCCGTTGAGCAGTTTGGAAACAGTCTTTTGTAGAAGCTGCAGAGGGAAATTTCTTAGCTGTTTGAGGCCTATGGTGAAAAAGAAATATCTTCACATAAAAACTAGACAGAAGCTTTCTGAGAAACTTCTTTGTGATGTGTCCATTCATCTCACAGAGTTAAACCTTTCTTTTGATTGAGGAGTTTGGAAAATGTCTTTTCTTAGAATCTGCAAAGGGATATTTGTGAGCCATTTATGGCCTTCGTTGAAATGTGAAATATCTTCACATAAAAAGTAGACAGAAGCTTTCTGACAAAGTTCTTTGTGATGTGCACGTTTGTCTCACAGAATTGAACCTTTCTTTTGATTGAGCAGTTTGGAATCAATCTTTTTGTAGAATCTGTGAATGTATAAGAGAGTTTTAAGGCCTAGAGTGAAAAAGGAAATATCTTCACATAAAAACAACACAGTAGCTTTTTGAGAAAACTCTTTGGGAAATTTCCATTCATCTCTAATAGTTGACCATTTCTTTTCATTGAGCAGTTTGGAAACAGTCTTTTTCTACAAACTGCAAAGGGATATTTCTGAGCGGTTTGGGGCCAATGGTGAAAAATAAATATTTTCACATGAAAACTAGACAGAAGCATTATGAGAAACTTCTTTGTGATGTGTGTATTCATCTCACAGAGTTGAATCTTTCTTTTGGTTTAGCAATTTGGAGAAAGTCTCTTGATAGTATAAGTGGAGTTATATTTGTGAGCGGTTTAAGGCCTATGGTGCAAAATTAAATACCTTCGCATAAAATGTAGACAGAAGCTTTCTGAGAAACTTCTTTGTGATGTGTGCTTTCGTCTCACAGAGTTGAGCCTTTCTTTTGATTGACCATTTTGGAAACCATCTTTTTGTAGAATCTGCAAATGTATATTTGGAGCAATTTGTGGCCTATGGTGAAAAAGGAAATATCTTCACATAAAAACTAGACAGAAGAATTCCTAGAAACTTCTTTGTGATGTGTGCATTCGTCTCACAATGTTGAAAGTTTCTTTTGATTGAGAAGTTTGTAAACAGAACTTTTGTAAAATCTGCAAAGGGATATTTGTGAGCCCCTTGATTCCTATGGCAAAATAGGAATTATCTTGAGATAAAAACTAGACAGAAGATTTCTGAGAAACTTTTTTGTGATGTGTGCTTTCATCTCACAGAGTTGAAAATTTCTTTTGATTGAGCAGTTTGGAAACAGTCTTTTCATATAATCTGCAAATGGATATTTGGAGCACTTTGTGGCCTAAGTTGAAAATGGAAATATCTTCACATAAAAACTAGACAGAAGAATTCTGAGAAACTTCTTTCTGATGTGTGCATTCACCTCAGAGAGGTGAACTTTTCTTTTGATGGAGCAGTTTGGAAACAGTCTTTTTATAGTATCTGCAGAAGGATATTTGTGAGCGGTTTAAGGCCTATGGTGGAAAAGGAAATATCTTCACATAAAAACTAGACAGAAGCTTTCTGAGAAACTTCTTTGTGATGTGCGCATTCATCTCACAGTGTTGAGACTTTATTTTATTTGAGCAGTTTAGAGACAGTCTTTTTTTGCAATCTGCAAAGGTATATTTCTGAGCCATTTGAGGTCTATGGTGAAAAAGAAATATCTTCACATTGAAACTAGACAGAAGCATTCTGAGGAGCTTCTTTGTGATGTCTCCATTCATCTGACAGAGTTGAAGGTTTCTTTTAATTCAGCACTTTGGAAACCATATTTTTGTAGAATCTGCAAAGGGATATTTTTGAGACATTTGAAGCCTATAGTGAAATAGTAAATATCTTCACATAAAAACTAGACAGGAGAGTTCCAAGAAACTTCATTCTGATGTGTGCATTCACCTCACAGAATTTAACTTTTCTTTTGATTGAGCAGTATGGAAATGGTCGTCTTTTAGAATCTGGAAAGGGATATTTCTTAGCCCTTTGAGGCCTATGGTGAAACTGGAAATATCTTCACATGAAAACTAGACCAAAGCTTTCTGAGAAACTTCTTTGAGATGTATGCTTTCATCTCACAGAGTTAAAACTTTCTTTTGATTGAGGAGTTTGGAAACACTCTTTTTGTGAAATCTGTAAATGGATATTAGGAGTGCTTTGAGGCCAATGGTGACTAAGGGAATATCTGCACATAAAAACCAAACAGAAGTTTTCTGAGAAACTACTTTTTGATGTGTCCATTAATCTAACAGAGTTAAAACTTTCTTTTTATTGAGCAGTTTGGATACAGTCTTTTTGTAGAATCTGAAAAAAATATTTGTGAGCCCTTTATTGCCTATGGTGAAATAGGAATTTTCTTCACATATAAACTAGACAGAAGCATTCTGAGGAACTTCTTTGTGATGTGTGCATTCATCTCACATAGTTGAAACTTTTTTTGGATTGAGCAGTTTGGAAACAGTCATTTTGTAAAATCTGCAAAGGGATATTTCTGAACCCATTGAGTACTATGGTGCAATGTGAAATATCTTCACATAAAAACTAGACAAAAGCTTTCTAAGAAACTTCTTTGTGATGTGTGCTTTCATCTCACAGAATTGAAACTTTCTTTTGATTGAGGAGTTTGGAAACACTCTTTTTCTAGAATCTGCAAATGGATATTTGGAGAGCTTTTGAGGCCCATGGTGAAAAACGAAATATCTTCACATAAAAACTAAACAGAAGCTTTCTGAGAAACTTCCTTGTGATGTGTGCATTCACCTCACAGAGTTGAACCTTTCTTTTGATTGAGCAGGTTGGAAAGAGGCTTATTGTACAATCCGCAAAGGGATAATTCTGATCCATTTGAGGCCTATGGTGAAAGAGAAATATCTTCACATAAAAACTAGACAGAATCATTACAAGAAATTTTTTGTGATGTGTCCATTCACCTCACAGAGTTGAACCTTTCTTTTGATTGAGCAGTTTGGAAACAGTCTTTTTGTAGAACCTTCAAAGGGATATTTGTGAGCCCTTTATGGTCTCAGGTGAAATAGGAAATATCTTCACATACAAACTAGACAGAAGCTGTCTGAGTAACTTTTTTGTTATGTGTGCTTTCATCTCAGAGAGGTAAAAATTTGTTTTGATTGATCAGTTTGGAAACAGTCTTTTTGTAGAATCTGCAAATGGATGTTTGGATTGCTTTGAGAACTATGTTGAGAAAGGTAATATCTTCACATAAAAACAAGACAGAAGAATTCTGAGAAACTTCTCTGTTACGTGCGCATTCATCTCACTGGTTTGAACATTTCTTTTGATTGAGCAGTTTGGAAACAGTCTTTTTGTACAATCTACAAGGGGATATTTTTGAACGGTTTGATGCCTATGGTGAAAAAGAAATATCTTCACATAAAAACTAGACAGAAGCATTATGATAAACTAATTTATTATGTGTGCATTTGTCTCACAGAGTTGAACCTTTCTTTTCATTTAGCAGTTCAAAAACTGTCTTTTTTTAGAGTCTGCAAAGGGATATTTGTGAGACCTTTGAGGCCCATGGTGATATAGGAAATATCTTCACAAAAAAAATAGACAGAAGCATTATGAGAAACTTCTTCATGATGTGTACTTTCTTCTCACAGATTTGAGTCTTTCTTTTAATTGAACAGTCTGGAAACTCTCTTTTTGTAGGGTTTGCAAAAGGATATTTGGAGTGCTTTGAGGCCTACGGTGAAAAAGGAAATATTTTCACCTAAAAACTAAACAGAAGCTTTCTGAAAAACTTCTCTGTGATGTGAGTATTCATGTCACAGTGTTGAACCTTTGTTTTCATTGAGCAGTTTGGAAACCATCTTTTTGTATAATCTGCAAAGGGATATTTCTGAGCAGTTTGAGGTCTACGGTGAAAAACAAATATCTTAACACAAAAACTGGACAGAGGCATTCTGAGAAACTTCTTATTCATGTGTGCATTCATCTCCCAGAGTTGAATCTTTCTTTTCATTGAGAAATTCGGAAACAGTCTTTTTGTAGAATTTGCAAAAGGGTATATGTGAGCCCACTGAGGCCCATGGTGAAATGGGAAATATCTTCACAGAAAAACTATACAGAAGCATTCTGAGAAACGTCCTTGTGATGTTTGCATTCATCTCACAGAGTTGAACCTTTCTTTTGATTGAGCCGTTTGGAAAAACTCTTTTTGCAGTATCTGCAAATGGATATTTGGAGTGTTTTGAGGCTTGTGGTGAAAAACTAAATATCTTCACATAAAATCTAGTGAGAGACTTCCTGAAGAACTTCTTTGTGATGTGTGTTTCATCTTACAGAGTTGAAAATTTCTTCTGATTTAGCAGTTTGGAAACAGTCTTTTGTAGAATCTGCAAATCGATATTTGGATTGTTTTGAGGCCTATCATTAGAAGAGAAATATCTTCACATAAAAACTAGACAAGATTTCTGAGAAACTTCTTTGTGAAGTGTGTTTTCATCTCACAGAGTTGAACAGTTCTTTTGATTGAGCAGTTAGGAAACAGTCTTTATCTACAATCTGCAAAGGGATATTTCTGAGGGGTTTGAGTCCTATGGTGAAAAGGAAATATCTTCACATAAAAACTAGACAGAAGCATTCTGAGAAACTTCTTTGTGATGTGTGCATTGAACACAGAGAGTTGAACCTATCTTCTGATAGAGCAACTTTTAAAATCTCTTTTTGTAGGATCTGGAAGTGGACATTTGGAGCGTTTTGAATCCTATGGTGGAAAAAGTAATATCTTCACATAAGAACTAGACAGAAGCATTCTGAGAAGCTTCTTTGTGATATGTGCTTTCATCTCACAGGTTTGAACCTTTCTTTTGATTGAGCAGTTTGGAAACAGTTTTTTTGTACAATCTACAAAGGGATATTTCTGAGCAGTTTGATGCCTATGGTGAAAAAGAAATATCTTCACATAAAAACTAGAAAGAAGCATTCTGAGAAACTTCTTTTTTATGTGTGCATTCGTCTCACAGAGTTGAACCTTTCTTTGCACGGAGAACTTTGAAAACAGTCTTTGTGTAGAGTCTACAAAGGGATATTTGTGAGCTCTTTGAGGCGTATGGTAAAATATGAAATATCTTCACATAAAAACAAGACAGAAGCATTATGAGGAACTTCTTTGTGACGTGTGGTTTCATCTCACAAAGATGAAGATTTCCTTTGA
>NC_000020.11:28752590-28754750 GCF_000001405.40 Homo sapiens
CAGTGGGCTTCATCCCTGGGATGCAACACTGGTTCAATATATGCAAATAAAAAAATGTAATCCAGCATATAAAAAGAACCAAAGACAAAAACCATATGATTATCTCAATAGATGCAGAAAAGGCCTTTACAAAATTCTACAAGCCTTCAAGCTAAAAACTCTCAATAAATTAGGTATTGATGGGACGTATCTCAAAATAATAAGAGCTATCTGTGAAACTTCTTTGTGATGTGTGCATTCATCTCACAGAGTTGAACCTTTCTTTTGATTGGGTAGTTTGGAAACAGTCTTTTTGTAGAAACTGCAAAGTGATATTTGTGAACACTTTGAGGCTTATGGTGAAAAAGGAAATATCTTCACATTAAAATTAGACTCATGTTTTCTGGGAAACTTCTTTGTGATGGGTGTATGCATCTCAAAGACTTGAATCTTTCTTTTGATTGAGCAGTTTGGAAACAGTCTTTTTGGACAATCTGCAAAGGGATGTTTCGGAGTGGTTTGAGGCATGTGATGAAAAAGGAAATATCTTCATATAAAAACTAGACAGAAGCATTCTGAGAAACCCTTTGTGATGCATGCATTCAACTCACAGAGTTGAATATTCTTTCATTGAGCAGATTGGAAACTGTCTTTTTGTAGAATATGCAAAGTGATATTTGTGAGCTTTCTGCGGCCTATTGTGAAAAAGGAAATATCCAGAAATAAAATCTAGACAGAAGCCTTCTGAGAAACTTCGTTGTGATGTGTGCATTCATCACACAGAATTGAACTTTTCTTTTGATTGAGCAGTTTTGAAACAGTCTTTTCATAGAATCTGCAAAGGAAAATTTGGGAACGCTTTGAGGCTTATGGTGAAAAAGAAGTATCTTCACCTAAAAACTTGACAGAAACGTTCTGAGAAACTTATTTTTGATGTGTGCATTCATCTCACACAGCTGAACTTTCATTTGATTGAGCAGTTTGGAAACAGTCCTTCTGTAGAATCTGCAAAGGGTTATTTATGAGCAGTTTGAGGCCTATGGTGAAAAAGGGAGTATCGACAAATAAAAACTAGACAGAAACTTTCTGAGAAACTTCTCTGTGATGTCTGCATTCATCTCACAGAGTAGAAGCTTTATTTGATTGAGCAGTTTGGAAACAGTCTTTTTGTAGAATCTGCAAACGGTTATATATAGGCGGTTTCAGATCTATGATGAAAATGGAAATATCTTCACATAAAAACTAGACAGAAGCTTTCTGAGAAAATTCTTTGAGATGTGCACATTCATCTCACAGATTTGAAGTGTTCTTTTCCTTAACCAGTTTGGATAGAGTCTTTTTGTAGAATCTGCTTTGCGATATTTGTGAGCCCTTTGAAGCCTATGGTGAAAAAAGTAATATCTTCACACAAAAACTAGACAGAAGCTTTCTGAGAAACTTCGTTGTGATGTGTGCATTCATCCCAAAGAGTTGAACCTGTCTTTGGATTGAGCAGTTTGGAAACAGTCCTTTGTAGAATGTACAAAGGGATATTTGAGATCCCTTTTTGGCCTATGGTGAAAAAGGAAATGTCTTCAGATAAAAACTAGACAGAAGCATTCTGACAAACTTATTTTTGATGTGTGCATTCTTCTCACATAGTTGAACCTTTCTTTAGATAGAGCAGGTTGGAAACAGTCTTTTTGTAGAATCTGCAAAATGATAATTTGAATGCTTTGAGGCTTACGGTGAAAAAGGAAATATCTTCACATAAAAACTAGACGGAAGCTTTCTGAGAAACTTCTTTGTGATGTGTGCATTCATCTCAAAGAGTTGAAGCTTTGTTTCAGTTGAGCAGTTTGGTAACAGTCTTTTTGTAAAATCTGTAAAGGGACATTTGTGAGCACTTTGAGGCCCATATTGAAAAAGGAAACATCTTCAACATCTTCAACATCTAGTTTTTACTAGGTAGAAGCTTTCTGAGAAACTTCTTTGTGATGTGTGCATTCACCTCACAGAGGTGAAGCTTTCTTGCGATTGAGTAGTTTGGAAACAGTCTTTTTGTAGAATCTGCAAAGGGTTATTTATGGGAGGTTTGAGGTCTATGGTGAAAAAGAGAGTATCAGCAAATAAAAACTAGACAGAAACTTTCTGAGAAACTTCTCTGTGATGTGTGCATTCATCTCGCAGAGTGGAAGTTTT
>NC_000020.11:28754770-28757831 GCF_000001405.40 Homo sapiens
CTGTTTCCAAACTGCTCAATCAAAAGAAACTTTCAACTCTGTTAGATGAATGCACACATCAGAAAGTAGTTTCTCAGCAAACTTCTCACTAGTTTTTATGTGAAGATATTTCCTTTTTCAACATGGGTCTCAAAGCACTCAAAAATATCCCTTTGCAGACTCTAGAATAACAGAGTTTACAAACTGCTCAATGAAAAGAAATGTTTACCTCTGTGAGATGAACACACATATCTTAAAGCAGTTTCTCAGAATGCTTCTTTCTAGTTTTTATGTGAAGATATTTCCTTTTTCACCATAGGTCTCAACTTGCTCCTAAATATCCCTTTGCAGATTGTACAAAAAGACTGTTTCCAAACTGCTCAATCAAAACAAATGTTAAACTCTATGAGATAAATGCACACATCACAAAATTTTTCTCAGAAAACTTTTGTCTAGTTTTTATGTGAAGATATTTCCTTATTCACATAGGCCTCAAAGTGCTACAAATATCCCTCTGCAGATTCTACAAAAAGACTGTTTGCAAACTGCTCAATCCAAAGAATGTTTCACCTCTGTGTGGTGAATGCACACATCCAAAGAAATTTCTCAGAAACCTTCTTTATGGTTTTTCTGTGAAGATATTTCCTTTTTCAACATAGGCCTCAAAGACCTCCCAAATATCCCTTTGCAGATTCTACAAAAAGACTGTTTCCAAATGGCTCAATAAAAAGAATTATTGAACACTGTCAGATGAATGCACACAGCTCAAAGAAGTTTTCAGAATCCTTCAGTCTAGTTTTTATGTGAATATATTTCCTTTTTCACGATAGGCCTCAAAGTGCTCCAAATATCCATTTGCAGAGTCTACAAAAAGACTGTTTCCAAACGGCTCAATCAAAACAAAGGTTCAACTCTGTGTGATGAATGCACATGTCACAAAGCAGTTTCTCAGGATGCTTCTGTCTAGTTTTTCACCATAAGCCTCAAAGTGCTCACAAATATCTCTTTACAGCTTCTACAAAAATACTTCTTCCAAATTGCTCAATCAAAAGAAAGGTTCAACTCTGTGAGATGTATGCACACCACAAAGAGGTTTCTCAGAAAGCTTCTCTCTAGTTTTTATGTGAAGATATTTCCTTTTTCACCATAGGCCTCTAAGCATTCACAAATATCCCTTTGCAGATTCTACAAAAAGACTCTTTACACATTGCTCAATCAAAAGAATGTTTCAACACTGTGAAGTGAATGCTCACATCACCACGATGTTTCTCAGAAAGCTTCTGTGTACTTTTTATGTGAAGATATGTCCTTTTTCACCATACACCTCAAAGGGCTCACAAATATCCCTTTGCAGATCTTACAAGAAAAGAGTTTCCAATCTTCTCAATGAAAAGAAACAGGCATATCTGGGAGGTGAATGCACATATCACAAAGCAGTTTCTGAGAAACATTCTGTCTAGTTTTTATGTGAAGGTATCTCCTTTTCCACCACAGGATGCAAAGTGCTCAAAAATGTCCCTTTGCAGATTCTACAAAAAGATAGTTTCCACACTGCTCATCAAAAGAAACGTTCAACTGTATGAGATGAATGCACATGTCAAAAAGTAGTTTCTCAGAAAGCTTCTATTAAGTTTTTATGTGAATGTTTTCTTTTTCCCCATGAGCCTCAAGGTGCTCACAAGCATCCACTAGAAGAATATTTAAAAAGACTGTTTCCAAACTGCTCAATCAAAAGAAAGTTTGAAGTATGTGAGATGAATGCACACATCACAAAGAAGTTCCTCAGAAGCCTCCTTTATAGTTTTTCTGTGAAGATATTTCCTTTTTCACCATAGACCTCAAAGCCCTCACAAATATCCCTATGCAGATTCTACAAAAAGACTGTTTCCAAACCGCTCAATAAAAAGAATTATTGAACTTTGTGAGATGAATGCACACATCTCAAAGAAGTTTCTCAGAAACTTCCAGTCTGGTTTTTATGTGAATATATTTCATTTTTCACCATAGGCCTCAAAGTGCTCCAAATATCCATTTGCAGAGTCCACAAAAAGACTGTTTCCAAATGGCTCAATGAAAAGAAAGTTTCAACTCTGTGAGATGAATGCACACATCATTAAAAAGTTTCGCAGGAGGCTTCTGTCTAATTTTTATACGAAGACATTTCCTTTTTCACCATAGGCCTCCATCTGCTCAAAAATATCCCTTAGCAGATTCTACAAGAACAGAATTTCCACACTGATCAAATAAAACAAACGTTTTTCTCTGTGAGATGAATGCACACGTCACAAAACTGTTTCTCAGAAACCTTCTTTATACTTTTTATGTGATGATATTTCTTTTTTCTCTCCAGGACTCAAAGAGCTCAAGAATATCCCTTTGCAGATTCTACAAAAAGATTGTTTCCGAAGTGGTCAATCAAAAGAATAGTTCAACTCCGTGAGATGAATGCATACATCACAAAGAAGTTTCTCAGAAACCTTGTTTATAGTTTTTATGTGAAGATATTTCCTTTTTCACCACAGGCCTCAAAGTGCTCAGCAATATCTCTTTGTAGATTCTGCAAAAAGACTGCTTCCCAACTGCTCAATCAAATAAATGTTTGAACTCTGTGAGATGGATGCACACATCACAAGAAGGTTTCTCAGAAATCTTCTGTCCATTTTTTATGTGAAGATATTTCCTTTTTCACCATAGCACTCCAAGTCGTGACAAATATCCCTTGCAGCTTCTACAAAAAGACTGTTTCCAGACTGCTCAATCAAAAGAATGGTTCAACTCTGTGAGATGATTGCACACATCACAAAGAAGCCACTAAGAAAGCTTCTGTCTAGTTTTTAAGTGAAGATATTTCCTTTTTCACCATAGGCCTTAAAGCACTCACAAATATCCCTTTGCAGATTCTACAAGAACAGAGTTTCCAGACAGATCATAGAAAATAAACGTTTACCTCTCTGAGATCAATACACACACCACAAAGCTGTTTCTAAGAAACCTTTATACCTTTTATATGAATATATTTTCTTTTTTCACCATTGGGCCCAAAGCTCTCATAAATATCCCTTTGCAGATTCCACAAACAGAC
>NC_000020.11:28757851-28790010 GCF_000001405.40 Homo sapiens
ATATCCCTTTGCAGACTCTACAAGAACAGTTTCCAGACAGATCAGAGAAAAGAAACGTTTACTTCTGTGAGACGAATGCCTACATCACAAAACTGTTTCTGAGAAACCTTGTTTATACTTTTTATGTGAATACATTTCCTTTTCCCCATAGGCCTCAAAGCACTCATAAATATCCCTTTGCAGATTCTACAAAAAGGGTGTTTCCAAACTGTTCAATCAAAAGAATGGTTGAACTCCACGAGATGAATGCACACATCACAAAGAAGTTTCTTGGAAAGCTTCTGTCTAGTTTTTATGTGAAGATATTTCCTATTTCATCATGGGCCTCATAGCTCTCAAAAATATGCCTTTACAGATTCTACAAAAATACTGCTTCCAAATTGTGCAATCCAATGAAGGTTAAATCTGTGAGATGAATGCACACATCACAAGGAGTTTTCTCAGAAGGCTTCTCTCTAGTTTTCATGTGAAAATATTTTGTTTTTCACCATAGGCTTCCAAAGCATCACAAATATCCCTTTTCAGATTCTACCAATATATTGTTTACAAACTGCCCAATCAAAAGAATGTTTCAACTCTGTGAGATGAATTCTCGCATCTCCAAGATGTTTCACAGAAAGCTTCTGTCTACTTTTTATGTGAAGATAATTCCTTTTTCACCATAGGCCTCAAAGTGCTGACAAATATTCCTTTGCAGATTTTACAAGAACATAATTTCCAATCTGTTCAATGAAAAGAAATGGTTACCTCTGTGAGATGAAAGCACACATCACAGAGCAGTTTCTCAGAAATATTCTGTCTAGGTTTTATGTAAAAATAATTCCTTTTCCAACATAGGACACAAAACGTTAACTAATAACCCTTTGGAAATTCTACAAAATACTGTTTCCAAAATGCTCATCAAAAGAAAGGTTCACCTCTATGGGATGAATGCACATATCAAAAAGATGATTCTCAGAAAGCTTCTATCTCGTTTTTATGTGAAAGTGTTTCCTTTTTCACCATGGGCCTCAAAGTGCTCAAAAATATCCCTTTGCAGATCCTAAAAAAAGACTGTTTCTAAACCGCTGAATCAAAGGAATGGTTCAACTCTGTGAGATGAATGCACACATCATAAAGAAGTTTCTCACAAACCTTCTTTATAGTTTTTATGTGAAGATATTTCCTTTTAACCATAGGACTCAAAGCGCTCACAAATATACCTTTGCAGATTCTACAAAAAGACGGTTTCCCAACTGCTCAATCAAAAGAATTGTTGAACTCTGAGAGGTGAATGCATACATCACAAAGCAGTTTCTCAGAAATCTTTAGTGTAGTTTTTATGTGAAGATACTTTCTCTTTCACCATAGACCTCAAAGTACTCAGAAATATCCCTTTACAAATTCCACAAAAAGATGTTCCCAAACTGCTCAATCAAAAGAAAGTTTCAATTCTGTGAGATGAATGCACACATCACCAAGAAGTTTCTCAGTAGGCTTCTGTCTAGTTTTTATGTGAAGACAATTTGTTTTTCACCATAGGGCTCCAGGCACTCAAAAATGTCTCTTAGCAGATTATACAAGAACAGAGTTTCCCAACTGATCAAAGAAAAGAATCGTTTACCTCTGCGAGATGAATGCAGACATCACAAAACAGTTTCTCAGAAAACTTCTTTATAGTTTTCTGTGAAGATACCTCTTTTCCTGCATAGGCCTCAGAGTGCTCACAAATATCCGTTTGCAGATTCTTCAAAAAGACTGTTTCCAAACGGCTGAATTAAAAGAGACGTTCAAATCTGTGAGATGAATGCACATATCACAAAGAAGTATCTCAGAAACGTTCTTTATACTTTGAATGTGAAGATATTTCCTTTGTCAAGAAAGGCCTCAAAGTGCTCAAAAATACCCCCTTTGAGATTGTACAAGAACAGAGTTTCCAGACTGATTGGAGAAAAGAAACACTTACCTCTGTGAGATGAATGCACACACCACAAGGTTGTTTTTACAAAACCTGCTTTATAGTTCTTATGTGAAGATATGTCGTTTTCCACTATAGGATTCATAGCGCTTCAAATATTCAATGGCAGATTCTACAAAAAGAGTGTTTCAAAATTGCTCAACAAAAAGAAAGTTCAACTCTGTGGGATGAATGCACACAACACAAAGAAGTTTCTCAGAATGCTTCTGTCTAGTTTTTATGTGAAGATATTTCCTTTTCCACCATAGGCGTCAAAGTGCTCTAAATATCCATTTGCAGATTCTACAAAAAGAGTGTTTCAAAACTGCTCAATCAAAAGAAAGGTTCAACTCTGTGACCTGAAAGCACACATCACAAAGAAGTTTCTCAGAATGATTCCCTGTAGTTTTTAAGTGAAGATATTTCCTTTTCCACTATAGGCCACAGAGTGCTCCAAATATCAAATTGCAGAGTCTATAAAAAGTGTGTTTCAAAACTGCTCAATCAAAATAAAGGTTCAACTTTGTGAGTTGAATACACACATCACAAAGAAGTTTCTCAGAATGCTTCTGGCTAGTTTTTATGTGAAGATACATTCTTTTCCACCATATGCCTCAAAGTGATCCAAATATCCACTTGCAGATTCTACAAAAAGAGTGTTTCAAAACTGCTCATGAAAAGATTGGTTCAACTCTGTGAGATGAATCCACACATCACAAAGAAGGTTCTCCGAATGTTTCTGTCTAGTTTTTATGTGCAGATATTTCCTTTTCCACTATAGGCCTCAAAGCTGTCCAAATACAAATTTGCAGATGGTACAAAACGAATGTATCCAACCTGCTCAATAAAAAGACATGTTCAACTCGGTGAGTTGAATGCACACATCACAAAAAAGTTTCTCAGAATGCTTCTGTCTAGTTTTTATGTGAAGATATTTCCTTTTCCACCATAGGCCTCAAAGTGCTCTAAATATCCGACTGTTGATTCCACAAAAAGACTGTTTCAAAACTGCTCAATCAAAAGAGATGTTCAACTCCATGAGTTCAATGTGCACATCAAAAAGAAGTATCTTAGAATGATTCCGTCTAGTTTTTATGTGAAGATATTTCCTTTTCTATCATGGCCTCAAAGTGCTCCACATATCCACCTGAAGGTTCTACAAAAAGAGTGTTTCAAAACTGCTCAATCAAAAGAAAGGTTTATCTCTGTGAGATGAATGCACACATCGTGAAGAACTTTCTCAGAATGCTTCTCTCTAGTTTTGATGTGAAGATATTTCCTTTTCCACCAGAAGCCACACAGCACTCCAAATATCCACTTGCAGATTCTACAAAAAGAGTATTTCAGAACTGCTCAATCAAAGGAAAGGTTCAACTCTGTGCGATGAAGGCACACATCACAAGGAAATTTCTCAGAATGCTTCTGTCTAGTTTATGTGAAGATATTTTCTTTTCCAACAGAGGCCACAAAGCGCTCAAAAAATCCACTTGCAGAATCTAAAAAAAGAGTGTTTCAAAACTGCTCAATCAAAGGAAAGTTCAACTCTGTGGGTTGAACGCACAGAGCACAAAGAACTTTGTCAGAATACTTCCCTGTAGTTTTTATGTGAAGATATTTGCTTTTCCACCATAAGCATCAAAGCGCTCCAAATATCCACTTGCACACTTTACAAAAAGATTGTTTCAAAACTGCTCAATCAAAAGAAAGTTTCAGCTCTGAGATGAATGCTCACATCACAAAGAAGTTTTTCAGTATGCTTCTGTTTAGTTTTTATGTGAAGACATTTCATTTTCCACAATAGGCCTCAAGGTGCTCCAAATATCAACTTGCAGATTCTACACAAAGAGTGTTTCAAAACTGCTCAGTAAAAAGAATGGATCAAGAGAGTGATATGAATGCACACACAACAAATAAGTTTCTCAGAATGCTTCTGTCTAGTTTTTAGGTGAAGATATTTCCTTTTACACCATAGACTTCAAACTGATCCAAGTATGCCTTTGCAGATACTACAAAAAGAGTGTTTCAAAACTGCTCAATCAAAAGAAAGGTTCAACTCTGTGAGATGAATGCACACATCAAGAAGAAGTTTGTCAGAATGCTTCTGACTAATATTTATGTGAAGATATTTCGTTTTCCACTATAGACCGCAAAGTGCTCCAAATATCCACTTGCAGATTCTACAAAAATGGTGTTTCAAAACTGCTCAATCAAAAGAAAGCTTCAACTCTGTGAGCTGAATGCACACATCACAAAGAAATTTCTCAGAATGCTTCTGTCTGGCTTAAGGCCACATAGCACTCCAAATATACAATTGCAGGTTCTACAAAAGGAGTCTTTCAAAATTGCTCTATCAAAAGAAGGTTTCCATTCAGTGACTTGAATGCACACATCACAAAGAAGTTTCTCAGAATGCTTCTGTCTAGTTTTTATGTGAATATATTTCCTTCACCACTATAGGCCACAAAGCACTCCAAATATCCACTGGCAGATTTTACAAAAAGAGTGTTTCAAAACTGCTCAATCAAAAGAAAGGTTGAACACTGTGAGTTGAATGCACACATCACAAAGAAGTTTCTCAGAATGCTTCTCTGTAGTTTTTATGTGAAGATATTTCCTTTTCCACCATAGGCCTAAAAGCACTCCAAATATCCATCTGCAGATTCTACAAAAAGAGACATTCAACACTGCTCAATCAAAAAAAAGGTTCAAGTCTGTGAATTGAATTCACACATAGCAAAGAACTTTCTCAGAATGCTTCTGTCTAGTTTTTATGTGAATATATTTCCTTCACCACTATAGGCCACAAAGCACTCCAAATATCCACTTGCAGATTCTACAAAAACAGTATTTCAAAAATGCTCAATCAAAAGAATGGCTCAACTCTGTGAGATGAATGCACACATCACAAAGAAGTATCACAGAATGCTTCTGTGAATACATATTTCGTTTACCACCATAGTTCTCAAAATGCTACAAATATCCACTGGCAGACTGTACTGAAAGAGTGTTTCAAAACTGGTCAATAAAAAGAAAATTTCAACTCTGTGAAATGAATGCACATATCACAAAGATGTTTCTCAGAATGCTTCTGTCTAATTTTTATGTGAATATATTTCCTTTTCCCCTATAGGCCACAAAGGCCTCCAAATATCCACTTGCAGATTCTACAAAAAGAGTGTTTGAAAACTTCAGAGTTAAAAGAAAGGTTCAATTCTGTGAGATGAATGCACGCATCACAAGGAAGTTTCTCAGAATGCTTCTGTCTAATTTATGTGAAGATATTTCCTTTTCCAACAGAGGCTACAAAGCACTTGAAATATCGACTCTCAGATTCTAAAAAAAGAGCATTTCAAAACTGCTCAATCAAAAGAAAGGTTCAACTCTGTGAGATGAACACACATAGCACAAATAACTTTGTCAGAATGCTTCTCTGTAGTTTTTATATGAAGACATTTCCTTTTCCACCATAAGCCTCAAAGTGCTCCAAATATCCACTTGCACACTCTACAAAAAGAGCGTTTCAAAACTGCTCAATCAAAAGAAATGTTGAACTTTGTGAGATGAATGCACACATCACAAAAAGTTTCTCAGAATGCTTCTCCGTAGTTTTCATGTGAAGATATATCCTTTTCCACAATAGGCCACAAAGTGCTCCAAATATCCTCTTGCAGATCCTAAAAAAAGTGTGTTTGAAAACTGTTCAATCAAAAGAAAGGTTCAACTCTGTGTGTTGAATGCACACATCACAAACAAATTTCTCAGAATGCTTCTGTGTAGTTTTCATGTGAAGTTATTTCCTTTTCCACCATAGGCCTCAAAGCGCTCCAAGTATCTAATTGGAGATTCTACAGAAAGAGTGTTTCAAAACTGCTCAATCAAAAGGAAGCTTCAACTCTGTGAGATGAAGGCACACAGCACAAAGAAGTTTCTCAGAATGCTGTTGTCTAGTTTTTATGTGCAGATATTGCCTTTTCCACTTAAGGCCACATAGCACTCCAAAGATCCACTTGCAGATTCTACAAAAGGAGTCTTTCAAAACTGCTCAATCAAAAGAAGGATTCCACTCTTTGAGTTGAATGCACACATCACAAAGGAGTATCTCAGAATGCTTCTGTGTAGTATTTATGTGAAGATATTTCCTTTTCCACCATAAGCCTCAAAGCACTCCAAAGATCCACTGGCAGATTTTACAAAAAGAGTGTTTCAAAACTGCTGAATCAAAAGAAAGGTTGAACTCTGTGGGTTGAATGCACACATCACAAAGAAGTTTCTCAGAATGCTTCTGTCTAATTTTTATGTGAAAATATTTCGTTTTCCACCATAGGCCTCAATGTGCTCCAAATATCCGCTTGCAGATTCTACAAAAAGAGTGTTTCCAAACTTCTCAACCAAAAGAACGGTTCAACTCTGTGAGATGAAACCACATATCACAAAGAAGTTTCTCAGAAATTCTCCATCTAGTTTTTATGTGAGAATATTTCTTATTTCATCCATAGGCATCAATGGGCTGAGAAATATCCCTTCACAGATTCTACAAGAGGACTGTTTCCAAGATGCTCAATTGAAAGAAATGTTCAACTCTTTGTGATGAATGTGCACATCACAAAGAAGTTTCTCAGAATGATTCTGTCTAGTTTTTATGTGAAAATATTTCGTTTTCCACTATAGGCCGTAAAGCACTCCAAATATCCACTTGCAGATTCTACAAAAAGACTGTTTCCAAACTACTCAATCAAAATAAATGTTCAACTTTTTGAGTTGAATGCACCCATCACAAAGAAGTTTCTCAGAATGCTTCTGTCTAGTTTTTATGTGAAGATATTTCCTTTTTCACCATAGGCCTCAAAGAGCTCCAAATATCCATTTGCGGATTCTACAAAAAGAGTGTTCCCAAACTGCTCAATCAAAGGAAAGTTACAACTCTGTGAGATGAAAGAACACATCATAAAGAAGTTTCTCGGAAAGCTTCTGTCTTGTTTTTATGTGAAGATATTTTCTCTTTCACCATAGTCCAGAAAGTGCTCAAAAATAGCCCTTTGCAGATTCTACACAAAGACTGTTTCCAAACTGCTGAACCAAAAGAAAGGTTCAACTCTGTGAGATGAAAGCACATATCTCAAAGAAGTTTCTCAGAAAGCTTCTGTCTGGTTTTTATGAGAAGATATTTCCTATTTCACCATAGGTCTCAATGGGCTGAGAAACAACCCTTTGCAGATTCTACAAAAGGACTGTTTCCAAACTGCTCAATCCAAAGAAAGTTTCACCTCTTTGAGTTGAATGCATACATCACAAAGAAGTTTCTCAGAATGCTTCTGCCTAGTTTTTATGTGAAGATGTTTCCTTTTTCACCATAGGCCTTAAACTGCTCTCAGATATCCCTCTGCAGATGCTACAAAAAGACTGTCTCCAAACTGCTCCATCAAAATAAGATTCAACTCTGTGAGATGAAAGGATACATCTCAAAGAAGTTTCTCAGAATACTTCTGTCTAGTTTTTATGTGAAGATATTTCTTTTTTGATATAGGCTTCCAACTTCTCAGAAATATCCCTTTCCAGATTGTACAAAAAGACTGTATCCAAACTTCTCAATGAAAAGAAACTTTCAACTCTGTGTGATGTATGCACACATCAAAAAGAAGTTTCTCAGAAAGCTTCTGTTTATTTTTCATGTGAAGATAGTTCCTTTTTCACCACAAGCCTCAAAGCGCTCCAAATATCCATTTGCAGATTGTACAAAAAGACTGGTTCCAAACTGCTCAATCAAAAGAAAGTTTCAAATCTGTGACATGAAAGCACACATCACTAAGAAGTTTATCAGAAAGCTTCTGTCTAGTTTTTATGTGAAGATATGTCCTTTTTCACCATAGGCATCCATGGGAAAAGAAATATCCCTTTGCAGATCCTACAAAAAGACTGTTTCCAAACTGCTCAACCAAAAGAATGGTTCAACTCTGTGAGATGAAAGTACATATCACAAAGAAGTTTCTCAGAAATCCTCTGTCTAGTTTTTATGTGAAGATATGTCCTTTTTCACCATAGGCATCCATGGGAAAAGAAATATCCCTTTGCAGATCCTACAAAAAGACTGTTTCCAAACTGCTCAACCAAAAGAATGGTTCAACTCTGTGAGATGAAAGTACATATCACAAAGAAGTTTCTCAGAAATCCTCTGTCTAGTTTTTATGTGAAGATATTTCCTATTTCATCCATAGGCCTCAATGGGCTCAGAAATATCCCTTCACAGATTCTACAAAACGACTGTTTCCGAAGTACTCAATCCAAAGACAGGTTCAGCTCTTTGAGATGAATGCACACAACACAAAGAAGTTTCTCAGAATGCTTCTACCTAGTTTTTATGTGAAGATATTTCCTTTTTCACCACAGGCCTTAAACTGCTCTCACATATACCTCTTCAGATACTACAAAAAGACTGTTTCCAGACTGCTCCATCAAAAGAAAAGTTCAACTCTGTGAGATGAATGGATACATCACAAAAAATTTTCTCAGAATACTTCTGTCTACATTTTATCTGAAGATATTTCTTTTTCACCATAGGCCTCTAACTTCGCAGAAATATTCCTTTGCAGATTGTACAAAAAGACTGTTTCCAAGCTGTTCAATGAAAAGAAAGTTTCACCTCTGTGAGATGTATGCACTCATCAAAAAGAAGTTTCTCAGAAAGCTTCTGTTTAGATTTCATGTGAAGATATGTCCTTTTTCACCATAGGCCTCAAAGTGCTTGAATTATCCTTTGCAGATTCCACAAAAAGACTGTTTCCAAACTGCTCAATTAAAAGAAAGGTTCAAACCTGTGAGATGAAAGCACACATCACTAAGAAGTTTCTCAGAATGCTTCTGTCTAGTTTTTAAGTGAAGATATTTCCTCTTTCACCATAGGTCTCAATGGGCTCAGAAATATCCCTTTGCAGATCCTACAAAAGGACTGTTTCCCAACTGCTTAATCAAAACAAAGGTTCAACTCTGTCAGATGAATGCACACTTCACAAAGAAATTTCTCAAAGTGCTTCTGTCTAGTTTTTATGTGAAGATATTTCCTTTTCCACCATAGGCCTCAAAGAACTCAAAATGTCCATTTGCAGATACTACAGAAAGATGCTTTCCAACCAGCTCAATCAAAGAAAATATTCAGCTCTGTGAATTGAATGCACATCACAAAGTAGTTTCCCAGAATGCTTCTGTCTTGTAGATATGTGAAGATATTTCCTTTTCCAATATATGCCACAAAGTGCTCCAAATATCAACTTGCAGATTTTGTAAAAAGAGTGTTTCAAACTTCCCAATATAGGAAATGTTCAACTCTGTGAGATGAATGCACACAACACGAAGAAGTTCCTCAGCATGTTTCTGTCTGGTTTTTATATGAAGATATTTCCTTATCCACTATAAGCCACAAAGCGCTCCATATATCCACTTGCAGATACTACAAAAAGAGTGTTTCCAAACTGCTCAATCAAAAGAAAGGTTCAACTCTGTGAGTTGAATGTGCACATCACAAAGAATTTTCTCAGAATGCTTCTGTCTAGTTTTCATGTGACGATATTTCCTTTTCCACCACACGCCTCATAGTGCTCCAAAAATCTACAAGCAGATTCCATAAATAGAGTATTTCAAAAATGCTGAATCAAAAGAAAGTTTCAGCTCTGTGAGATGAATGCACACATCACAAAGAAGATTCTCAGAATGCTTCTGTCTAGTTTTCGTGTGAAGATATTTCCTTTTCCACATTACGTCTCAAATCTCTTCAAGTATCCCTTGCAGATTCTACAAAAAGAGTGTTTCAAAACTGTTCGATAGAAAGAAAGGTTCAAGTCTGTGAGATGAATGCACATCTCACAAAGAAGTTTCTCAGAATGCTTCTGTCTAGTTTTTATTTGATGATTTATCCTTTTCCACAATAGGCTGTAAAGCGCTCCAAATATCCACTTGCAGATTCTTCAAAAAAAGTGTTTCCAGACTGCTCAATCAAAGGAAAGGTTCAACTCTGTTAGTTGAATGCACACATTACAACAAAGTTTCTCAGAATGCTTCTGTCTAGTTTTTAGGTGAAGATATTCCCTTTTAAACTGTAGTCTGCAAAGTGCTCTGAATATCCACTTGCAGATTCTACAAAAAGAGTCTTTCAAAACTGCTCAATCAAAAAAAGGGTTCAACAGTGTTAGTTGAATGCACACATCACAAAGAAGTTTCTCAGAATGCTTCTGTCTAGTTTTTATGTGAAGATATATCCTTTTCCACCATAGGCCCCAAAGTAATCCAAATATCCACTGGTAGAGTCTACAAATGTGCGTTTCAACACTACTCAATCAAAAGAAACGTTCAACTCTGTGAGATGAAAGCACGCATCACAAAGTTGTTTCTCAGAATGCTCTGTCTAGTTTTTATGTGAAAATATTTCCTTTTATACCATAGGCCCCAAAGTATTCCAAATATCCACCTTCAGATTCTACAAAAAGTGTCTTTCAAAACTGCTCAATCAAAAGAAAGGTTCAAACCTGTGAGATGAATGCACACATCACAAAGGAGTTTCTCAGAATGCTTCTGTCTAGTTTGTATGTGAAGTTATTTCCTTTACCACCATAGGACTGAAAGAGCTCCAAATATCCACTTGCAGATTCTACAAAAAGAGTGTTTCAAAATTGCTCAATCAAAAGAAAAGTTCAACTCTGTGAGAAGAATGCACACATCACAAAAAGTTTCACAGAATGCTTCTATCTATTTTTTATGTGAAGATATTTCCTTTTCCACTTGAGGCTGGAAAGCTCTTGAAATATCCAATTGCAGATTCTTCAAAAGAGTGTTTCAAAACTGCTCAATCAAAGGAAAGGTACAATTCAGTGAACTGAATGCACACATCAGAAGGAAGTTTCTCAGAATACCTCTGTGCAGTTTTTATGTGAAGATATTTACTTTTCCACCATAGGCCCCAAGGCTCTCCAAATATCCAATTGCAGTTTCAATAAAAAGTGTGTTTCAAAACTGCTCAATCAAAAGAAAGGTTCAACTCTGTGGGAGGAAAGCTCACATCACAAACATGTTTCTCAGAATGCTTCTGTCTTTTTTCTGTGTGAAGATATTTCCTTTTCCACTAGAGGATGCAAAGCGCTCAAAATATCCACTTGCAGATTTTACAAAAGGGTGTTTATAAAGTGCTAAATCAAAAGAAAGTTTCAAGTCTGTGAGATGAATGCACATATCCCAAAGAAGTTTCTCAGAATGCTTCTGTCTAGTTTTTATGTGAAAATATAAAATTTTCCACTATAGGCCACAAAGCGCTTCAAATATCCACTTGCATATTCCTCAAAAAGAGTGTTTCAAAACTGATGAATCAAAAGAAAGGTTCAACTGTGTGAGATGAATGCACACATGACAAAGAAGTTTCTCAGAATGCTTCTGTCTAGTTTTATGTGAAGATATTTCCTCTACCATAGGGAACAAAGCACTCCAAATATCCACTTACAGATTCTACAAAAATGGTGTTTCCAAACTGCTCAATCAAAACAAAGTTTCAACTCTGTGAGATGACTGCACACATCATAAAGAAGTTTCTCAGAATGCTTCTGTGTAGTTTTTATGTGAAGATAATTCCTTTTCCACCATAGGCCTCAAAGTGTTCCATATATCTACCTGCAGATTCTACAAAAAGAGTGTGTCAAAACTACTTAATCAAAAGAAAGGTTCCACCCAGTGAGATGAATGCACTCGTCACAGAGAAGATTCCCAGAATGCTTCTGTCTAGTTTTTATGTGAAGATGTTTTTCCTTTTCCACTATAGGAAGCAAAGCGTTCCAAATATCCAATTGCAGATTCCACAAAAAATGTGTTTCAAAACTGCTCAATGAAAAGAAATGTTGAATTCTGTGAGATAAAAGCACACATCATAAAGGAGTTTCTGAGAATGCTTTTGTCTGGTTTTTATGAGAAGATATTTCCTTTTCAACTATAGGCCTCAAAGTGCTCCAAATATACATTTGCAGATGCTACAAAAAGAATGTTACCAAACTCCTCAAAGATACGTTAAACTTTTTGAGTTGAATGCACACATCACAAAGTAGTTTCTCAGAATGCTTCTGTCCAGATTTTATTTGAAGATATTTCCTTTACCAACATAGGCCTCAAAGCTCTCCAAATATCGAATTGCAGATTCCACAAAAACAGTGTTTGAATACTGCTCAAACAAAAGAAAGGTTCAACCCTGTGAGATGAATGTACACATCACACAGAAGTTTCTCAGAATGCTTCTGTGTAGTTTTTATGTGAAGATATTTCCTTTACCACCATAGGCCTCAAAGTGCTCCAAATATCCACTTACAGATTCTACAAAAAGAGTGCTTTAAAACTGCTCAACCAAAAGAAAGGTTCAACTCTTTGTGATGAATGCACACATCACAAAGTAATTTTTCAGAATGCTTCTGTCTAGTTTTTATGTGAATATACATCCTTTTCCACTATAGGCCACAAAGTCCTCCAAACACCCACTTGCGGATTCTACAAAAAGAGTGTTTTAAACCTCCTCAACAAAAAAGTTTCAGCTCTGTGAGGTGAATGCATACATCACAAAGAACATTCTCAGAATGCTTCTCTCTAGTTTTTATGTGAATATATTTGCTTTTCCACCATAGGCCACAAAGCGCACCAAGTATCCACTTGCAGATTTTACAAAAATAGTGTTTCAAAACTGCTCAAACAAAAGAAAGGTTCAACTATGTGAGTTGAATGCACACATCACAAAGAAGTTTCTCAGAATGCTGCTGTCTAGCTTTTATCCAAAGTTATTTCCTTTTCCACTATACTCCACAAAGCCCTCCGAATATCCACTTGCAGATTCTACAAAAGAAGTGTTTCAAAACTGCACAATCAAAAGAAAGTTTCAACTCTGTGAGTTGTATGCACACGTCAGAAAGAAGTTTCTCAGAATGCTTTTGTGTAGTTTTTATGTGAAGATATTTCCTTTTCCACCATAGGCCCCAAAGCTCTCCAAATATCCACTTGCAGATTATACAGAAAGAGGGATTCAAAACTGCTCAATCAAAAGAAAGGTTCAACTCTGTGAGTTGAAGGCACACATAACAAAGCCGTTTCTCAGAATGCTTCTCCATAGTTTTTATATGAAGATATTTCCATTTCCACCATTCTCTCCAAAGCGCTCCAAATATCCACTTGCAGATTCTATAAAAAGAGTGTTTCAAAACTGCTCAATGAAAAGAAAGTTTAAACTCTGTTAGATGAATGGACACATCACAAAGACATTTCTCAGAATGCTTCTGTCTAGTGTTTATGTGAAGATATTTCCTTTTCCACCACATGCTTCAAAGCGCTCTAAATATGCACTTGCAGATTCTACCAAAAGAGTGTTTCAAAACTGCTCAATCAAAGGAAAGGTTCAAATCTGTGAGATGAACGCACACATCACAAAGAAGTTTCTCGGAATGCTTCTGTCTAGTTTCTATGAGAAGATAATTCTTGTCCACCATAGGCCCCAAAGGGCTCCAAATATCCACCGCAGATCCTACAAAAAGTGTTTAAAAAATGCTAAATCAATAGAAAGTTTAAACTCTGTGCGATGTATGCACACATCACAAAGAAGTTTCTCAGAATGCTTCTCTCTAGTTTTTATGTGAGGATATTTCCTTCTCCACCATAGGCCTGAAAGCACTCCAGATATCCCCTGGCAGATCCTAAAAAAACAGAGGTTCAAAACTGCTCAATCAAAAGAAATTTTCAAATCTGTGAGATGAATGCACACATCACAAAGAAGTTTCTCAGAGTACTTCTGTCTAGTTTTTATGTGAAGATATTTCCTTTTCCACCATACTCATCAAAGAGTTCCAAATATCCACTTGCACATTCTACAAAGAGAGTGTTTCAAAACCTGCTCAATCAAAAGAATGGTTCAACTATGTGAGATGAATGCAAACATCACAAAGAAGTATCTCAGAATGCTTCTGTGTAGTTTTTATGTGAAGATATTTCCTTTACCACCGTAGGCCTCAAAGCGCTCCAAATATCCACTTACAGTTTCTCCAAAAAGCGTGTTTCAAAACTGTTCAATCAAAAGAACGGTTGAACTCTTTGAGATGAATGCACACATCAAAAAAGTTTTTCAGAATGCTTCTCTCTAGTTTTTATGTGAATGTGCATCCTTTTCCACTATAGGCCACAAAGTGTTCCAAACACCCACTTGCTGATTCTACAAAAAGAGTGTTTCAAACCTCCTCAATAAAAAAAGTTAAAACTCTGTGAGGTGAATGAACACATCACAAAGAAGATTCTCAGAATGCTTCTGTCTAGTTGTTACGTGAAGATATTTGCTTTTCCACCATCGGCTGCAAAGTGCACCAAATATCCACTTGCAGATTCTACAAAAATAGTGTTTCAAAACTGCTCAATCAAAAGAAAGGTTCAACTCTGTGAGTTGAATGCACACATCACAAAGAAGTTTCTCAGGATGCGTCTGTCTAGCTTTTATGCAAAGTTATTTCCTTTTCCACAATACTCCACAAAGCCCTCCGAGTATCTACTTGCAGATTCTACAAAAAGAGTGTTTCATAACTGCACAATCAAAAGAATGGTTCAACTCTGTGGGTTGTATGCACACATCACAAAGAAGCTTCTCAGAGTGCTTTTGTATAATTTTTATGTGAAGATATTTCATTTCACCAGAGGCCCCAAAGCGCTCCAAATATCCACTTGCAGATTCTACAAAAAGAGGGATTCAAAACTGCTCAATCAAAAGAAAGGTTCAACTCTGTGAGTTGAATGCACACATCACAAAGACGTTTCTCACAATGCTTCTCCATAGTTTTTATATGAAGATATTTCTTCCATTTCCACCATTCTCTCCAAAGCGTTCCAAATATCCACTTGCAGATTCTACAAAAAGAGTGTTTCAAAACTGTCCAATCGAATTAAAGTTTCTTCTCTTTGAGAAGAATGCACACATCACAAAGGAGTTTCTCAGAATGCTTCTGTGTAGTTTTTATGTGAAGGTATTTCCTTTTACACCATAGGTCACAAAGGGCTCCAAATATTCACTTGCAGATTCTACATAAGGAGAGTTTCAAAACTCCTCTATCAAAAGATAGGTACAACCCTGAGTTCAATGCACACATCTCAAAGAAGTTTCTCAGAATGCTTCTGTTTAGTTTTTATGTGAAGATATTTCCATTTCTACAATAGGCCTCAAAGCGCTCCAAGTATCCACTTGTAGATTTTACTAAAAGAGTGTTTCCAAACTGCTCAATCAAAAGAGATTTACAACTCTGTGAGATGAATGCACAAGTCACACAGAACTTTCTCAGAATGCTTCTGTGTAGTTTTTATGTGAAGATATTTCCTTTTCCACAATGGGCCTCAAAGCGCTCTATGAGATGAATGCACACGTCAAAAGACATTTCTCAGAATGCTTCTGTGTAGTTTTTATGTGAAAATATTTCCTTTTACACCATAGGCCGCAAAGGCCTCCAAATATCCACTTGCAGATTCTACAAAAAGAGAGTTTCAAAATTGCTCAATCAAAAGATAAGTTCAACTCTGTGAGCTGAATGCACTCATCACAAACAAGTTTCTCAGAATGCTTCTGTGTAGTTTTTATGTGGAGATATTTCCTTTTCCACAATAGGCCTCTAAGCACTACAAATATCCACTTGCAGATTCTACAAATAGTGGGTTTTAAAACTGCTCAATCAATAGAAATGTTCGCCACCGTGTCTTGAAAGAAACATGTCACAAAGAAGTTTCTCAGAATGCTTCTGTGTAGCTTTAAATGAAGATATTTCCTTTCCACCATAGGCCTCAATGCACTCCAAATATCTACTTGCAGATTCTACAAAAAGTGTGTTTCAAAATTGCTCAATCAAAAGAAAGTTGAACTCTGTGAGATGAATGCACACATTGCAAAGAAGTTTCTCAGAATGCATCTGTGTTGTTTTTATGTGAAGATATTTTCCACAATAGGCCTCAAGGGTCTCCAAATATCCACTTGCAGATTCTACAAAAAGACTGTTTCAAAACTGCTCAGTGAAAAGAAAGGTTCAACTCTCTGGGATGAATGCACACAGGACAATGAAGTTTCTCAGAATGCTTCTGTGTAGTTTTTATTTGAAGTTATTTGCTTTTCCACCAGAGGCCACAAAGGGCTCCAAATATCCACTTGCAGATTCTACAAAAAGAGAGTTTGAAAACTGTGCAATTAAAAGATATATTCAAATTTGTGATTGGAAGGCACACATCAGAAAGAAGTTTCTCAGAATGCTTCTGTGTAGATTTTATGCAAAGATATATCCTTTTCCACCATAGGTCTCAATGCGCTCCAAATATCCACTTAGAGATATTACAAAAAGAGTGTTTGAAAACTGCTCAATAAAAAGAAAACTTCAACTCTGTGAGATGAACACACACATCGCAAAGAATTTTGGCAGAATGTTTCTGTGTTGTTTTCATGTGAATATATTTCCTTTTCCACAATAGACCTCAAAGTGCTCCAAATATCCACTTGCAGATCCTACAAAAAAGAATGTTTCAAAACTGCTCAATCAAAAGCAATGTTCAACTCCGTGAGATTAATGCACACATCACAAAAAAGTTTCTCAGAATGCTTCCACATAGTTTTTATGTGAAGATAATTCCTTTTCCAACACAGGACTCAAAAGACTCCAAATATCCACTTGAAGATTCTACAAAAATAGTGTTTAAAAATGCTCAATAAAAAGAAATGTTGAACTCTGTAAAGTGAATGTACACATAACCAAGAAATTTTTTCAGAATGCTTCTGTGTAGCTTTTAAGCGAAGATATTACATTTTCCACCACAGGCTGCAATGGGCTCTAAATATCCAGTTGCAGATTCTACAAAAAGAGATTTTCAAAGCTCCTCAATAAAAAGATAAGTTCAACTCTGTGAGTTGAATGCACACATCAGAAAGAAGTTTCTTTGAATGCTACTGTGTAGTTTTTATGTGAAGATATTACCTTTTACACCATAGGCCTCAAAGCGCTCCAAATATCCACCTGCAGATTCCAAAAAAAGAGAGTTTCAAAACTGCTTATCAAAAGACAGATTCAACTCCGTGAGTTGAATGCACACATCACAAATAAGTTTCTCAGAATGCTTCCGTGTATTTTTTATGGGAAAATATTTCCTTTGCCTCATAACACTGCAAATATCCACTTGCAGATCGCACTAAGAGTATTTCCAAACTGCACAGTCAAAACAAAGGTGAAATGAATGCACACATTGCAAAAAGTATCTCAGACTCTTTTGTGTAGTTTTTATTTGAAGATATTTTCTTTTTTACAATAGGCCTCAATGCTCTCCGAAGATCCACTTGCAAATTCTTCAAAAGAGTGTTTCCAAACTGCTCAATCAAAAGAAAGATTCAACTCTGTGAGATGAGTGCACACATCACAAGGTAGTTTGTCAGAATGCTTCTGTGTAGTTTTTATGTGAAGATATTTCCTTTTCCACCTTAGGCCACAAAAAGCTCCACATATCCACTTGCAGTTTCTAAAAAAATAATGTTTCCAAACTGGTCAATGAAAAGAAAGTTTCAACTCTGTGAGTTGAATGCACACATCACAAAGAAGTTTCACAGAATTCTACTGTGTAGTTTCTATGTGAAGATATTTCCTTTTCCACAATAGGCCTCAAAGTGTTCCAAGTATCCACTTGCAGTTTCTACAAAAAGATTGTTTCAAAACTGCTCAATGAAAAGATAAGTTCACCTCTGTGAGTTTAATGCACACATCACAAATTAGTTTCTCAGAATACTTCTTTGTAGTGTTTATGTGAAGATATTTCCTTTTCCACAATAGACCTCAAAGTGCTCCAATTATCCACTTCTAAATTCTCCAAGAGAGTGTGGCAAAACTGCTCATACAAAGGAAAGTTTCAACTCTGTGAGATGAATGCACACATCACAAAGAAATTTATCAGAATTTTTGTGTGTGGTTTTTATGTGAAAATATTTCCTTTTCCACAGTAGGCCTCAAAGCGCTCCAAATATCCACTTGCAGCTTCTACAAAGCCAGTGTTTCAAATCAGCTCAATCATAAGATAGTTTCAACTCCGTGAGATGAATGCATACATCACGAAGAAGTTTCTCAGTATGCTTCTGTGTAGTGTTTATTTAAAGATATTTCCTTATCGTCCATAGGCCACAAAGGGCTCCAAATATCCATTTGCAGATTCTACAAAAAGAGAGATTCAAAACTCTCAATCAAAAGATAGGTTAAACTCTGTGACTTTAATTCACACATCACAAAGAAGTTTCTCAGAATGCTTCTTTGTAGTTTTTATGTGAAGATATTACCTTTTCCACAATAGGCCTCAAAGCGCTCCAAATATCCACTTGCAGATTCTACAAACAGTGTTTCAAAACTTCGCAATCGAAACATAGGTTCAACTCTCTGAGTTGAATGCATACATCATAAAGAAGTATCTCAGAATGCTTTTGTGTAGTTTTTATGTGAAGATATTTCTTTTTTTTTTGTATTCATTCTTTTTTTTTTAATTTTTTTTTTTTAATTATACTTTAAGTTTTAGGGTACATGTGCACATTGTGCAGGTTAGTTACATATGTATACATGTGCCATGCTGGTGCGCTGCACCCACTAACGTGTCATCTAGCGTTAGGTATATCTCCCAATGCTATCCCTCCCCCCTCCCCCGACCCCACCACAGTCCCCAGAGTGTGATATTCCCCTTCCTGTGTCCATGTGATCTCATTGTTCAATTCCCACCTATGAGTGAGAATATGCGGTGTTTGGTTTTTTGTTCTTGCTATAGTTTACTGAGAATGATGGTTTCCAATTTCATCTATGTCCCTACAAAGGACATGAACTCATCATTTTTTATGGCTGCATAGTATTCCATGGTATACATGAGCCACATTTTCTTAATCCAGTCTATCATTGTTGGACATTTGGGTTGGTTCCAAGTCTTTGCTATTGTGAATAATGCCGCAATAAACATACATGTGCCTGTGTCTTTATAGCAGCATGATTTATAGTCATTTGGGTATATACCCAGTAATGGGATGGCTGGGTCAAATGGTACTTCTAGTTCTAGATCCCTGAGGAATCGCCACACTGACTTCCACAATGGTTGAACTAGTTTACAGTCCCACCAACAGTGTAAAAGTGTTCCTATTTCTCCACATCCTCTCCAGCACCTGTTGTTTCCTGACTTTTTAATGATTGCCATTCTAACTGGTGTGAGATGATATCTCATAGTGGTTTTGATTTGCATTTCTCTGATGACCAGTGATGGTGAGCATTTTTTCATGTGTTTTTTGGCTGCATAAATGTCTTCTTTTGAGAAGTGTCTGTTCATGTCCTTTGCCCACTTTTTGATGGGGTTGTTTGTTTTTTTCTTGTAAATTTGTTTGAGTTCATTGTAGATTCTGGATATTAGCCCTTGGTCAGATGAGTAGGTTGCGAAAATTTTCTCCCATGTTGTAGGTTGCCTGTTCACTCTGATGGTAGTTTCTTTTGCTGTGCAGAAGCTCTTTAGTTTAATTAGATCCCATTTGTCAATTTTGGCTTTTGTTGCCATTGCTTTTGGTGTTTTGGACATGAAGTCCTTGCCCACGCCTATGTCCTGAATGGTAATGCCTAGGTTTTCTTCTAGGGTTTTTATGGTTTTAGGTCTAACGTTTAAATCTTTAATCCATCTTGAATTGATTTTTGTATAAGGTGTAAGGAAGGGATCCAGTTTCAGCTTTCTACATATGGCTAGCCAGTTTTCCCAGCACCATTTATTAAATAGGGAATCCTTTCCCCATTGCTTGTTTTTCTCAGGTTTGTCAAAGATCAGATAGTTGTAGATATGCGGCATTATTTCTGAGGGTTCTGTTCTGTTCCATTGATCTATATCTCTGTTTTGGTACCAGTACCATGCTGTTTTGGTTACTGTAGCCTTGTAGTATAGTTTGAAGTCAGGTAGTGTGATGCCTCCAGCTTTGTTCTTTTGGCTTAGGATTGAATTGGCGATGCAGGCTCTTTTTTGGTTCCATATGAACTTTAAAGTAGTTTTTTCCAATTCTGTGAAGAAAGTCATTGGTAGCTTGATGGGGATGGCATTGAATCTGTAAATTACCTTGGGCAGTATGGCCATTTTCACGATATTGATTCTTCCTACCCATGAGCATGGAATGTTCTTCCATTTGTTTGTGTCCTCTTTTATTTCCTTGAGCGATGGTTTGTAGTTCTCCTTGAAGAGGTCCTTCACATCCCTTGTAAGTTGGATTCCTAGGTATTTTATTCTCTTTGAAGCAATTGTGAATGGGAGTTCACTCATGATTTGGCTCTCTGTTTGTCTGTTGTTGGTGTATAAGAATGCTTGTGATTTTTGTACATTGATTTTGTATCCTGAGACTTTGCTGAAGTTGCTTATCAGCTTAAGGAGATTTTGGGCTGAGACAATGGGGTTTTCTAGATAAACAATCATGTCGTCTGCAAACAGGGACAATTTGACTTCCTCTTTTCCTAATTGAATACCCTTTATTTCCTTCTCCTGCCTGATTGCCCTGGCCAGAACTTCCAACACTATTTTGAATAGGAGCGGTGAGAGAGGGCATCCCTGTCTTGTGCCAGTTTTCAAAGGGAATGCTTCCAGTTTTTGCCCATTCAGTATGATATTGGCTGTGGGTTTGTCATAGATAGCTCTTATTATTTTGAAATACGTCCCATCAATACCTAATTTATTGAGAGTTTTTAGCATGAAGGGTTGTTGAATTTTGTCAAAGGCTTTTTCTGCATCTATTGAGATAATCATGTGGTTTTTGTCTTTGGCTCTGTTTATATGCTGGATTACATTTATTGATTTGTGTATATTGAACCAGCCTTGCATCCCAGGGATGAAGCCCACTTGATCATGGTGGATCAGCTTTTTGATGTGCTGCTGGATTCTGTTTGCCAGTATTTTATTGAGGATTTTTGCACCAATGTTCATCAAGGATATTGGTCTAAAATTCTCTTTTTTGGTTGTGTCTCTGCCCGGCTTTGGTATCAGAATGATGCTGGTCTCATAAAATGAGTTAAGGAGGATTCCCTCTTTTTCTATTGATTGGAATAGTTTCAGAAGGAATGGTACCAGTTCCTCCTTGTACCTCTGGTAGAATTCAGCTGTGAATCCATCTGGTCCTGGACTCTTTTTGGTTGGTAAACTATTGATTATTGCCACAATTTCAGATCCTGTTATTGGTCTATTCAGAGATTCAACTTCTTCCTGGTTTAGTCTTGGGAGAGTGTATGTGTCGAGGAATGTATCCACTTCTTCTAGATTTTCTAGTTTATTTGCATAGAGGTGTTTGTAGTATTCTCTGATGGTAGTTTGTATTTCTGTGGGATCAGTGGTGATATCCCCTTTATCATTTTTTATTGTGTCTATTTAATTCTTCTCTCTTTTTTTCTTTATTAGTCTTGCTAGCAGTCTATCAATTTTGTTGATCCTTTCAAAAAACCAGCTCCTGGATTCATTGATTTTTTGAAGGGTTTTTTGTGTCTCTATTTCCTTCAGTTCTGCTCTGATTTTAGTTATTTCTTGCCTTCTGCTAGCTTTTGAATGTGTTTGCTCTTGCTTTTCTAGTTCTTTTAATTGTGATGTTAGGTTGTCAATTTTGGATCTTTCCTGCTTTCTCTTGTGGGCATTTAGTGCTATAAATTTCCCTCTGCACACTGCTTTGAATGCGTTCCAGAGATTCTGGTATGTGGTGTCGTTGTTCTCGTTGGTTTCAAAGAACATCTTTATTTCTGCCTTCATTTCACTATGTACCCAGTAGTCATTCAGGAGCAGGTTGTTCAGTTTCCATATAGTTGAGCGGCTTTGAGTGAGATTCTTAATCCTGAGTTCTAGTTTGATTGCACTGTGGTCTGAGAGATAGTTTGTTATAATTTCTGTTCTTTTACATTTGCTGAGGAGAGCTTTACTTCCAAATATGTGGTCAATTTTGGCACAAGAGTCCTGAAAGCCCTCCAAGTATCCACTTGCAGATTCTACAAAGAGAGTGTTTCAAAAATACTCAATAATAAGATATGTTCAAATCTATGAGATGAATGCACACATCACAAAGAAGTTTCTCAGAATGCTTCTGTGTAGTATTTATTTGAAGATATTTCCTTATCCTCCATTGGCCACAAAGGGCTTCAAATATCCACTTGCAGATTCTGCAAAAAGAGAAATTCAAAACTGCTCAATCAAGAGATAGGTTCAACTCTATCAGTTGAATGCACACATCACAAAGAAGTTTCTTGGAATGCTTCTGTGTAGTTTTTATGGGAAGATATTTCCTTTTCCACAACAGGTATAAAAGCGCTCCAAATATCCACTTGCAGATTCTACAAAAAGAGTTTGTCAAAAGTTCTCAATCAAAAGAAACTTTCAACTCTGTGGGATGAATGCACACATCACATAGATGTTTCTCAGAATGCTTCTGTGTAGTTTTTACGTGAAGATATTTGCTTTTCCACAGTAGGCCTCAAAGCGCTCCAAATATCCACTTGCAGATTCTATAAAAACAGTGTTTCAAAACTGCTCAATCAAAAGAAACTTACAACTCTGTTAGATGAATACACACAACAAAAAGTAGTTTCTCAGAATAAATCTGTGTAAGTTTTATGTGAAGATATTTCCTTTTACACAATAAGCCAAAAAGCACTCCAAATATACACCTGAAGATTCTGCAAAGAGAGTGTTTCAAAGCTGCTCAGTCATAAGATAGGTTCATCTCTGTGAGATGAATGCACGCATCACAAAGTAGTTTCTCAGAATGCTTCTGTGTAGTTTTTATTTGAAGATATTTCCTTTGCCTCCATGGACTGCAAAGGGCTCCAAATATCCACTTGCAAATCCTAGAAAAAGAGAGATCCAAAACTGCTCAATTGAAAGATAGGTTCAAGACTGTGAGTTGAATGCACAAATCACAAAGAAGTTTCTCAGAATGCTTCTGTGTAGTTTTTATGTGAAGACGTTTCCTTTTCCAAAATAGGCCTCAAAGCCCACCAAATATCCACTTGCAGATTCTATAAAAACAGTGTTTCAAAACTGCTCAATCAAAAGACATATTAGAATATGGGAGTTCAATGCACACATCACAAAGAACTTTCTCAGAATGCTTTTGTGTAGTTTTTATGTGAACATATATCCTTTTCCACAATATGCCTCAAATCATACCAAAGATCCACTTGCAGATTCTACAAAGAGAGGGTTTGAAAACTGCTAAACCATAACATAGATTCAACATTTTGAGATGAATGCACACATCACAAAGAAGTTTCTCAGAATGATTCTGTGTAGTTTCTATGTGAAGATATTTCCTTGTCCACTATAAGAAAAAAAGGGCTCCAAATATCCACTTGCAGATTCTACAAAAAGAGTGTTTCTAAGCTGCTCAATCAAAAGAAAGTTTCCACTCTGGGAGAAGAATGCCCACATCACCAGAAAGTTTGTCAGAATGCTTCTGTGTAGTTTTTTTGTGAAGATATTTCCTTTTCCAAAAAAGACCTCAAAGCGCTCCAATTATCCACTTGCAGATTCTACAAAAAGAGTGTTTCAAAATGCTCAATAATAAGATAGGTTCAACTTTGTGATATTAAGGCACACTTCACATAGAAGTTTCTCAGAATTCTTCTGTGTAGTTTTATGTGAAGATATTCCTTTTTCCACCATAGGCCTCAAAAGGCTCCAAATGTCCACTTGCAGATAATAAAAAAAGTGAGATTCAAAACTGTTCAATCAAAAGATAGGTTCAACTCTGTGAGTTGAATGGACACATCACAAAGAAGTTTCTCAGAATACTTCTGTGTAGTTTTTATGTGAAGATACATTCTATTCCAAAATAGGCCTAAATTCCACCCAAATATCCACTTGCAGATTCTGCAAAAAGAGTGTTTCAAAACTGCTCAATCAAAAGAAAAGTTAAACTCTGTGAGATGAATGCACCCATCACAAAGAAGTTTCTTAGAATACTTCTGTGTAGTATTTATGTGAAGATATTTCTTCTTCCACAATAGGACTCAAAGCACTCCAAATATCCACTTGCACATTCTACAAAAAGTGTGTTTCAACGCTGTTCAATCATAAGGTATGTTCAACTATGTGAGGTGAATGCACACATGACAAGGTAGTTTCTCAGAATTCTTCTGTGCTTTTTTATTTGAAGATATTTCCCTTTCCAGCACAGACCACAAAGGGCTTCAAATATAGACTTGCAGAATCTACAAAAAGAGTTCTTCAAAACTGCTCAATCATAATATAGGTTCACCTCTGTGAATTGAATGCACACATCACCAAGAAGTTTCTCAGAATGCTTCTGTGTAGTTTTTATTTGAAGATATTTCCTTTGCCTCCATGGACCGCAAAGGGCTCCAAATATGCACTTGCAGATTGTAGAAAAAGAGAGATCCAAAACTGCTCAATCAAAAGATAGGTTCAAGGCTGTGAGTTGAATGAACACATCACAAAGAAGTTTCTCAGAAGGCTTCAGTGTAGTTTTTATGTGAAGGTATTTCGCTTTCCACCATAAGCCAAAAAGTTCTCCAAATATCCACTTGCAGATTCTACAAAAAGAGTGCTTCAAAACTGCTCAATCAAAAGAAAGTTTTATCTCTGGGAGATGAACGCATACATCACAGGGAAGTTTCTTAGAATGCTTCTGTGTAGTTTTTATGTGAAGATATTTCCTTTTCCAAAAAGCCTCAAAGCTCACCAAATATCCACTTGCTGATTCTACAAAAAGAGTGTTTGAAGCCCGCTGAATCAAAAGACAGGTTCAACTCTGTGAGATAAATGCATAAATCACGTAGAAGTTTCTGAGAATTCTTCTGTGTAGATTCTATTTGAAGATATTTCCTTTTCCTCCATAGACCACAAATTGCTCCAAATATCCACTTCCAGATTCTAGAAAAAGAGAGATCCAAAATTGCTAAATCAAAAGATAGGTTCAAGAATGTGAGTTGAATACACAAACCACAAAGAAGTTTCTCAGAATGCTTCTGTGTAGTTTTTATGTGAAGATATTTTCTTTTCCACAATAGGCCTCCAAGCCCACCAAATTTCCAGCTGCTGATTCTACAAAAAGAGTGTGTCAAATCTGCTCAATCAAAAGACAGGTTCAACTCTGTGAGATGAATGCACACATCACAAGGAAGTTTCAGAGAATGCTGCTGTGTAGTTTTTATGTGAAGATATTTCCTTTCCTAAACTAGACCTCAAAGCACTCCAAATATCCACTTGCAGATTCTACCAAAAGAGTGTTTCAAAACTGCTCAATCAAAAGAATGGTGCAACTCTGTGAGATGAATGCACACATCACAAAGAAGTTTCTCAGAATGCTTCTGTGTAGTTTTAATGTGAAGATACTTTCTTTTCTAGAATAGGCCTAAAATCCCTCCAAATATCCACTGCAGATTCTACAAAAAGAGTGTTTCAAAACTGCTCAATCAAAAGAAAAGTTCAAATCTATGTGATGAATGCACTCATCACAAATTAGTTTCTCAGAATGATTAGTTTCTCAGAAAGTTTCAGAGTAGTTTTTATGTGAAATTATTTCCTTTTCCACAATAGGCCTCAAAGCACTCCAAATATCCTCTTGCAGATTCTACAAAACAGTGTTTCAAAACTCCTCAATCAAAAGAAAGTTTCAACACTGTGAGATGAATGCACACATCACAAAGAAGTTTCTCGGAATGCCTCTGTGTGGCTTTTATGTGAAGATATTTGTTTTTCCACAGTAGGCCTCAAAGGGCTCCAAATATCCACTTGCAGATTCTACCAAAAGAGTGTTTCAAAACTGCTCAATCAAAAGAATGGTTCAACTCTGTGAGATGAATGCATACATCACAAAGAAGTTTCTCAGAGTGCTTCTGTGTAGTTTTTATGTGAAGATATTTCTTTTTCTAAAATAGGCCTAAAATCCCTCCAAATATCCACTTGCAAATTCTACAAAAAGAGTGTTTAAAAACTGCTCAATCAAAAGAAAAGTTCAAATCTATGTGATGAATGCACTCATTACAAATTAGTTTCTCAGAATGATTAGTTTCTCAGAATGTTTCAGAGTAGTTTTTATGTGAAATTATTTCCTTTTCCACAATAGGCCTCAAAGCACTCCAAATATCCTCTTGCAGATTCTACAAAACAGTGTTTCAAAACTGCTCTACCAAAAGAAAGGTTCAACAATGTGAGATGAATGCACACAACCCAGAGAAGATTCTCAGAATGCTTCCGTGTAATTTTTATTTCATGATACTTCCTTTTCCTCCATAGGCTGAAAAGGGCTCCAAATATCTACTTGCAGATTCTACATAAAGAGAGATTCAAAACTACTGAATCAAAAGATAGGTTCAACTCTGTGTTATGAATGCACTCATCACAAAGAAGTTTCTCAGAATGCTTCTGTGTAGTTTTTATGTGAAGATATTTACTTTTACACCATAGACTTCAAAACTCTCCAAATATCCACTTACAGATTCTACAAAAAGAGTGATCCCAAATGGCTCAAAAAAAGAAATGTTCAACTCTGTCAAATGAATGCACACATCACAAAGAACTTCCTCAGAATGCTTCTGTGTAATTTTTATGTGAAGATATTTCCTTTTCCACAATAGACCTCAAAGAGCTCCAAATATCCACTTGCAGATTCTACAAAAAGAATGTGAAAACTGCTCAATCGACAGAAAGGTTCAACTCTGTGAGATGAATGCATACATCACAAAGAAGTTCCTCAGAATGTTTCCATGTGTTTTATTTTTGTGAAGATATTTCCTTTTCCACAATAGGTACCAAAGCGCTCCAGATATCCACTTTCAGATTCTTCCAACGGAGGGTTTCAAAATTGCTCAATCAAAAGATAGGTTCAAGTGTGTGAGATGAATGCACACAACACCAAGAATTTTCTCAGAATGCTTCTGTGTAGTTTTTATGTGAAGTTACTTCCTTTTCCACCATAGGCTGCAAAGGGCTCCAAATATCCACTTGCAGATTCTACAGAAGGAGAGATTCAAAACTGCTCAATCAAAGGTAGCTTCAACTCTGTGAGTTTAATGCACACATCACAAAGAAGTTTTTCAGAATGCTTCTGTGTAGTTTTTATGTGAGGATATTTCCTTTTGCAATATATGCTGCAAAGGCCTCTAAATACCCATTCCAGAATCTTCAAAAAGAGAGTTTCAAAACTGCTCCATCAAAAGATAGGTTCAACTCCATGAGATGAATGCACACATCATAAAATCTTTCTCAGAATGCTTCTGTGTAGTTTTTATGTGATGATATTTTTTTTTCCACCATAGGCCGCAAATGGTTGCAAATATCCACTTGCAGATTCCACAGAAAGAGAGACTCAAAACTGCTCCATCAAAAGATAGATTCAACCCTGTGAGTTGAATGCCCAGATCACAGAGAAATTTCTCAGAATGCTTCTGTGTAGTTTTTATGTGAAGATATTTCTGTTTCCACCAGACGCCTCAAAGTGCTACAGATATCAACTTGCACATTCTGCAAAATGAGTGTTTCCAAACTGCTCAACCAAAAGAAACGTTCAACACTCTGAGATGAATGCACACATCACAAAGAAGTTTCTCAAAATTCTTCTGTGTAGTTTTTATGTGAAGATATTTCCTTTTCCATATTAGGCTGCATAGGGCTCCCAATATCCACTTGCAGATTATTGAAAAAGATAGTTTCAAACCGCTCAATCAAAAAATACGTTCAACTCTGTGAGTAGAATGAATACATCACAAAGAAGTTTCTCAGAATGCTTGTGTGTACTTTTTATGAGAAGACATTTCCTTTTCCACCATACGCTACAAGGGTTTCCTAATATCCACTTGCAGATTCTACAAAAAGAGAGTTTCAAAACTGGTCAACCAAAAGATAGGTTCAACCCTGTGAGTTGAATGCACACACAACAAAGAAGTTTCTCAAAATAGTTTTTTTGTAGTTTTTATGTGAAGATATTTCCTTTTCCACCGTAGGCCTCAAAGTGCTCCAAATATTAAATTGCAGATTCTGCAAAAAGAGTGTTTCCAAACTGCTAAAACTAAAGAAGAGTTCATCTCTGTCAGATGAATGCACACATCACGATGAAGTTTCTCAGAATGTTTCTGTGTTGTTTTTAAGTGAAGATATTTCCTTTTCCACAGTAGGCCTTAAAGCACTCCAAATATCCATTGAAGATTCTACAAAAAGTGTTTCCAAACTGCTCAATCAAAACAAAGCTTCAACTCTGTGAGATGAATGCATTGTCACAAAGAAGTTTCTCAGAATGTTTCTGTGTAGTTTTAAAGTGAAGATATTTCCTTTTACACCACAGGCCGCAAATGGCTCCAAATATCCACTTTCAGGTTCTAGAAAAAGAGAGTTTCAAAACTTCTTAATCAAACGATAGGTTCAACTCTGGAAGGTGAATGCACATGTCAGAAAAAAGTTTCCCAGAATGCCTCTGTGTATTTTTCATATGACGACATTTCCTTTACCACCATAGGACTCAAAACCCTCCAAATATCCACCTGCAGATTCTACAAAAAGAGTGTTCCCAAACTGCACAATCAAAAGAAAAGTTCAACTCTGTGAGATGAATGCACACATCACAAAGAAGTTTCTCAGGATGCTTCTGTATAGTTTTTATTTGAGGATATTTTCTTTTATACCATAGCCCACAAAGGGCTCCAAATATCCACTTGCAGATTCTACAAAAAGAGAGTTTGAAGACTGCTGTATCAAAAGATAAGTTCAACTCTGTGAGTTGAATACACACATAACAAAGAAGTTTCTCAGAATGCTTCTGTGAAGTTTTTATATGAAGATATTTCCTTTTCCACAATAGGCCACATAGCGCTCCAAATATCCACTTGCAGATTCTACAAAAACAGTGTTTCCAAGCTGCACAATCAAAAGAAATGTTCAACCCTGTGAGATGAATGCACACATCACAAAGAAGTTTCTCAGAATGCTTCTGCGTAGTTTTTATGTGAGGATATTTCCTTTTCCACACTAGGCCTCAAATGCTCCAAATATCCACTTGCAGATTCTACAAAAGAGAGATTCAAAACTGGTCAATCAAAAGATAGATTTAGCTCTGAGAGTTGAATGCACACATCACAAAGAAGTTTCTCAGAATGCTTTTGTATAGGTTTTATGTAAAGATATTTCCTTTTCCGCCATAGGCCTCAAATCCCTCCAAATATTCACTTGCAGATTCTATAAAAGGAGTGTTTCCAAACTGCCCCCAAAAAAGAAAGGTTGAATTCTTTCAGATGAATTCACACATCACAAAGAAATTTCTCAGAATGATTCTGAGTAGTTTTTATGTGAAGATATTAAGTTTTCCACAATAGGCCTCAAAGCCCTCCAAATATCCACTTGAACATTCTACAAAAAGTGTATTTCATAACTGTTCAATCAAAAGAAAGGTTCTACTCTGTGAGATGAATGTACACATCACAAAGAAGTTTCTCAGAATGCTTCTGTGTAGTTTTTATCTGAAGATATTTCCTTTTCCAACATAGGCTGCAAAAGGCTCAAAATATCCACTTGAAGATTGCACAAAAATACAGGTTCAAAGCTGCTCAATCCAAAGATATGTTCAAATCTGTGAGTTGAAAGCACACATCACAAGGTAGTTTCTCAAAATCCTTCTTTGCAGTTTTTATGTGAAGATATTTCCTTTTCCACCGTAGGCCTCAAAGCACTCCAAATATCCAATTTCACATTCCACAAAAAGAGCATTTCAAAACTGCTTAATCAAAAGAAAAGTTCAACTCAGTGAAATGAATGCACACATCACCAAGCAGTTTTTCAGAATGCTCATGTGTAGTGTTTATCTGAAGATATTTCCTTTTCCACAATAAGCCTCAAAGGGCTCCAAATATCCACTTGCAGATTCTACAAAAAGATTGTTTCCAAACTGCTCAAACAAAAGAAAGTTTCAACTCTGTCAGATGAATGCACACATCAAAAAGAAGCTTCTCAGAATGCTTCTGTGTAGTTTTTATGTGAAGATATTTCCTTTAACACAATAGGCCCCAAATCGCTCCAAATATCCACTTGCAGATTCTACAAAAAGAGAGTTTGAAAATTGCCCTCTAAAAAGACAGGTTCAACTCTGTGAGTTGAATACACACATAACAAAGAAGTTTCTCAGAATGGTTCTGTGAAGTTTTTATGTGAAGATATTTCCTTTTCCACAATAGGCCACATAGCGCTCCAAATATCCACTTGCAGATTCTACAAAAACAGTGTTTCAAGCTGCACAATCAAAAGAAATATTCAACTCTGTGAGATGAATACACACATCACCAATAAATTTCTCAAAACGCTTCTGTTTAGTTTTTATGTGAAGATGTTTCCTTTTGCACCATAGGCCACAAAGGTCTCCATATATCCACTTCCAGATTCTACAAAAAGATATTTTCAAAACTGTTCAATCAAAAGATATGTTCAACTCTGAGAGTTGAATGCACACATCGCAAAGAAGTTTCTCAGAGTACTCCTGTGTATTTTTTTTAATTTATTTTATTTTATTATTATTAATACACTTTAAGTTTTAGGGTCCATGTGCACATTGTGCAGCTTAGTTACATATGTGTACACGTGCCATGTTGGTATGCTGTACCCATTAACTCGTCATTTAGCATTAGGTATATCTCCTAATGCTATCCCTCCCCCCTCCCCCACCCCACATCTGTCCCCAGTGTGTGATGTTCCCCTTCTTGTGTCCATGTGTTCTCATTGCTCAATTCCCACCTATGAGTGAGAACATGCAGTGTTGGGTTTTTTGTCCTTGCAATAGTTTACTGAGAATGATTATTTCCGATTTCATCCATGTCCCTACAAAGGACATGAACTCATCATTTTATGGCTCCATAGTATTCCATGGTGTATATGTGCCACATTTTCTTAATCCACTCTGTTATTGTTGGACATTTGGTTTGGTTCCAAGTCTTTCTTATTGTGAATAGTGCTGCAATAAACTTATGTGTGCATGTGTCTTTATAGCAGCATGATTTATAGTCCTTGGGTATATACCCAGTAATGGGATGGCTGGGTCAAATTGTATTTCTAGTTTTACATCCCTGAGGAATGGCCACAATGACTTCCACAATGGTTGAACTAGTTTACAGCCCCACAAAAAGTGTAAAAGTGTTCCTATTTCTCCACATCCTCTCCAACACCTGTTGTTTCCTGAATTTTAATCATTGCCATTCTAACCGGTGTGAGATGGTATCTCATTGTGGTTTTGATTTGCATTTCTCTGATGGCCAGTTAAGAATGAGCATTTTTCCATGAGTTTTTTGGTTGCATAAATGTCTTCTGTTGAGAAGTGTCTGTTCATGTCCTTCACCCACTTTTTGATGGGGTTGTTTGTTTTTTCTTGTAAATTTGTTTGAGTTCATTGCAAATTCTGGATATTAGCCCTTTGTCAGATAAATAGGTTGTGAAAACTTTCTCCCATTTTTTACATTGCCTGTTCACTCTGATGGTAGTTTCTTTTGCTTTGCAGAAGCTCTTTAGTTTAATTAGATCCCATTTGTCAATTTTGGCTTTTGTTGCCATTGCTTTTGGTGTTTTAGACATGAAGTCCTTGCCCATGCCTATGTCCTGAATGGTAATGCCTGGGTTTTCCTCTAGGATTTTTATGGTTTTAGGTCTAACGTTTAAGTTTTTAATCCATCTTGAATTAATTTTTGTATAAGGTGTAAGGAAGGGATCCAGCTTCAGCTTTCTACATATGGCTAGCCATTTTTCCCAGCACCATTTATTAAACAGGGAATCCTTTCCCCATTGCTGGTTTTGTTCAGGTTTATCAAAGATCAGATAGTTTTAGATAGGCAGCTTTATTTATGAGGGCTCTGTTCTGTTCCATTGATTTATATCTCTGTTTTGGTACCAGTACCATGCTGTCTTGGTTACTGTAACCTTGTAGTATAGTTCGAAGTCAGGTAGCGTGATGCCTCCAGCTTTGTTCTTGTGGCTTAGGATTGACTTGGTGATGTGGGCTCTTTTTTGGTTCCATATGAACTTTAAAGTAGTTTTTTCCAATTCTGTGAAGAAAGTCATTGGTAGCTTGATGGGGATGACATTGAATCTATAAATTATGTAGGGCAGTATGGCCATTTTCACGATATTGATTCTTCCTACCCATGAGCATGGAATGTTCTTCCATTTCTTTGTATCCTCTTTTATTTCATTGAGGAGTGGTTTGTAGTCTCCT
>NC_000020.11:28790158-28820603 GCF_000001405.40 Homo sapiens
TTTTGGGCTAAGACAATGGGGTTTTCTAGATATACAATCATGTCATCTGCAAACAAGCACAATTTGACTTCCTCTTTTCCTAATTGAATACCCTTTATTCCCTTCTCCTGCCTGATTGCCCTGGCCAGAAGTTCCAACACTATGTTGAATAGGAGTGGTGAGAGAGGGCATCCCTGTCTTGTGCCAGTTTTCAAAGGAAATGCTTCCAGTTTTTGCCCATTCAGTATGATATTGGCTGTGGGTTTGTCATAAATAGCTCTTATTATTTTGAGATACGTCCCATCAATACCTAATTTATTGAGTTTTAAGCATGAAGTGTTGTTAAATTTTGTCAAAGGCCTTTTCTGCATCTATTGAGATAATCATGTGGTTTTTGTCTTTGGTTCTGTTTATATGCTGGGTTACATTTATTGATTTGTGTATATTGAACCAGCCTTGCATCCCAGGGATGAAGCCCACTTGATCATGGTGGATCAGCTTTTTGATGTGCTGCTGGATTCTGTTTGCCAGTATTTTAGTGAGGATTTTTGCATCAATGTTCATCGAGGATATTGGTCTAAAGTTTTGTTTTTTGGTTGCGTCTCTACCCGGCTTTGGTATCAGGATGATGCTGGCCTCATAAAATGAGTTAGGGAGGATTCCTTCTTTTTCTATTAATTGGAATAGTTTCAGAAGGAATGGTACCAGCTCCTCCTTGTGCCTCTGGTAGAATTCGGCTGTGAATCCATCTGTTCCTGGATTCTTTTTGGATGGTAAGCTATTGATTATTGCCACAATTTCAGATCCTGTTATTGGTCTATTCAGAGATTCAACTTCTTCCTGGTTTAGTCTTGGGAGAGTGTATGTGTCGAGGAATGTATCCACTTCTTCTAGATTTTCTAGTTTATTTGTGTAGAAATGTAAGTAGTAGTCTCTAATGGTAGTTCATATTTCTGTGGGATTGATGGTTATACCTGCTTTATCATTTTTTATTGCATCTATTTGATTCTTCTCTCTTTTCTTCTTTATTAGTCTTGTTAGCGGTCTATCAATTTTGTTGATCTTTTCAAAAAACCAGCTCCTGGATTCATTAATTTTTTGAAGGGTTTTTTGTGTCTCTATTTCTTTCAGTTCTGCTCTGATTTTAGTTATCTCTTGCCTTCTGCTAGCTTTTGAATGTGTTTGCTCTTGCTTTTCTAGTTCTTTTAATTGTGATGTTAGGGTGTCAATTTTGGATCTTTCCTGTTTTCTCTTGTGGGCATTTAGTGCTATAAATTTCCTTCTTCACACTGCTTTGAATGTGTCCCGGAGATTCTGGTATGTTGTGTCTTTTTTCTCGTTGGTTTCAAAGAACATCTTTATTTCTGCCTTCATTTCGTTATGTACCCAGTAGTCATTCAGGAGCAGGTTGTTCAGTTTCCATGTAGTTGAGTGGTTTTGAGTGAGTTTCTTAATCCTGAGTTCTAGTTTGATTGCACTGTGGTCTGAGAGACAGTTTGTTATAATTTCTGTTCTTTTACATTTGCTGAGGAGGGCTTTACTTCCAGCTATGTGGTCAATTTTGGAATAGGTGCAGTGTGGTGCTGAAAAAAATGTATATTCTGTCGATTTGGCGTGGAGAGTTCTGTAGATGTCTATTAGATCCTCTTGGTGTAGAGCTGAATTCAATTCCTGGGAGTACTTGTTAACTGTGTCATTGGTCTGTCTAATATTGACAGTGGGATGTTAAAGTCTCCCATTATTAATGTGTGGGAGTCTAAGTCTCTTTGTAGGTCACTCAGGGCTTGCTTTATGAATCTGGGCCCTCCTGTATTGGGTGCACATATATTTAGGATAGTTAGCTCTTCTTGTTGAATTGATCCCTTTACCATTATGTAATGGCCTTCTTTGTCTCTTTTGGTCTTTGTTGGTTTAAAGTCTGTTTTATCAGAGACTAGGATTGCAACCCCTGCCTTTTTTTGTTTTTCATTTACTTGGTAGATCTTCCTCCATCGTTTTATTTTGAGCCTATTTGTGTCTCTGCACATGAGATGGGTTTCCTGAATACAGCACACTGATGCGTCTTGACTCTTCATCCAAATTGCCAGTCTGTGTCTTTAATTAGAGCATTTAGTCCATTTACATTTAGAGTTAATATTGTTATGTGTGAATTTGATCTGTCTTTATGATGTTAGCTAGTTATTTTGCTCGTTAGTTGATGCAGTTTCTTACTAGCCACAATGGTCTTTACAATTTGGCATGATTTTGCAGTGGCTGGTACTGGTTGTTTCTTTCCATGTTTAGTGCTTCCTTCAGGAGCTCTTATAGGGCAGGCCTGGTGGCAACAAAATCTCTCAGCATTTGCTTGTCTGTAAAGTATTTTATTTCTCCTTCACTTGTGAAGCTTAGTTTGGCTGGATATCAAATTCTGGGTTGAAAATTCTTTTCTTTAAGAATGTTGAATATTGGCCCCCACTCTCTTCTGGCTTGTAGAGTTTCTGCCAAGAGATCAGCTGTTAGTCTGATGGGCTTCTCTTTGAGGGTAACCTGGCCTTTCTCTCTGGCTGCCCTTAACATTTTTTCCTTCATTTCAACTTTGGTGAATCTGACAATTATGTGTCTTCGAGTTGCTCTTCTCGAGGAGTGTCTTTTTGGCATTCTCTGTATTTTCTGAATCTGAATGTTGTCCTGCCTTGCTAGATTGGGGAAGTTCTCCTGGATAATATCCTGCAGAGTGTTTTCCAACTTAGTTCCAATCTCCATATCACTTTCAGGTACACCAATCAGACATAGATATGGTTTTTTCACATAGTCCCATATTTCTTGGAGGCTTTGTTCATTTCTTTTTATTCTTTTTTCTCTAAACTTCCCTTCTCGCTTAATTTCATTCATTTCATCTTCCATCACTGATACCCTTTCTTCCAGTTGATCACATTGTCTCCTGAGGCTTCTGCATTCTTCGCATAGTTCTGGAACCTTGGCTTTCAGCTCCATCAGCTCCTTTAAGCACTTCTCTGTATTGGTTATTTTAGTTATACATTCGTCTAATTTTTTTTCAAAGTTTTTAACTTCTTTGCCTTTGGTTTGAATTTCCTCCTGTAGCTCAGAGTAGTTTGATAGTCTGAAGCCTTCTTCTCCCAACTTGTCAAAGTCATTCTCCATCCAGCTTTGTTCCATTGCTGGTGAGGAACTGCATTCCTTTGGAGGAGGAGAGGCACTCTGCTTTTTAGAGTTTCCCATTTTTCTACTCTGTTTTTTTCTCATCTTTGTGGTTTTATCTACTTTTGGTCTTTGATGATGGTGATGTACAGTTGGGTTTTTGCTGTGGATGTCCTTTCTATTTGTTAGTTTTCCTTCTAACAAACAGACCCTCAGCTGCAGTTCTGTTGGAGTTTTCTAGAGGTCCACTCCAGATCCTGTTTGCCTGGGTATCAGCAGCAGTGACTGCAGAACAGTGGATTTTCATGAATCACGGATGCTGCTGTCTGATCTTTCCTCTAGAAATTTTGTCTCAGAGGACTACTCAGCCGTGAGAGGTGTCAGTCTGACCCTACTGGGTTGTGCCTCTCAGTTAGGCTGCTCAGAGTTCAGGGGACAGGGACCCACTTGAGGAGGCAGTCTGCCCATTCTCAGATCCCCCGCTGTGTGCTGTGAGAACCACTGCTCTCTTCAAAGCTGTCAGACAGGGACATTTAAGTCCACAGAGGTTACTGCTGTCTTTTTGTTTGTCTGTTCCCTGCCCCCAGATGTGGAACCTACAGAGTCAGTCAGGCCTCCTAGAGCTGTGATGGTCTACACCCAGTTCGAGCTTTCCAGCAGCTTTGTTTACCTAAGAAAGCCTGGGCAATGGGGGGTGCCCCACCACCAGCCTTACTGCCACCTTGTAGTTTGATCACAGACTGCTGTGCTAGCAATCAGTGAGACACTGTGGACATAGGACCCTCTGAGCCATGTGTGGGATATAATATCCTGGTGTGCCATTTTTTAAGCCCATTGAAAAAGTGCAGTATTAGGGTGGGAGTGACTCGATTTTCCAGGTGCCATCTGTCACCCCTTTATTTGACTAGGAAAGGGAACTCCCTGACTACTTGCACTTCCCATGTGAGGAAATGTCTAGCTCTGCTTCAGACCATGCATAGCACCCTGCACCCAGTATCCTGTGCCCACAGTCTGGCACTCCTTAGTGAGATGAACCTGGTATCTCAGATGGAAATGAAGAAATCACCCATCTTCTGCATTGCTCATGATGGGAACTGTAGAACAGAGCTGTTCCTATTTGGCCATCTTGACTGCTGCCTCATTCGCCAGTTTGCTTCTGTGTAGTTATTATGTGAAAATATTTCCTTTTCCACCATAGGCTGCAAAGGGCTCCAAATATCCACTTGCAGATTCTACAAAAAGAGAGTTTCAAAACTGCTCAATCAAAACATAGGTTCAACTCTGTGAGTTGTATGCACACATTCCAAATAAATTTCTCTGAATGCTTCTGCATAGTTTTTATTTGAAGATATATCCATTTCCACCATAGGCCACAAAGCACTCCAAATATCCACTTGCAGATTCTACAAAATGAGTGTTTCAAAACCGCTCAATCAAAAGAATGGTTCAACATTGTGAGATTAAACACACATCACAAAGAAGTTTCTCAGAATGCTTCTGTGTTGTTCTCATGTGAAGATATTTCTTTTTTCACCATAGACCTTAATGTGATCCAAACATCCACTTGCAGATACTACAAAAAGAGTGTTTCCAAACTGCTCAATCAAAAGAAAGGTTCAACTCTGTGGGATGAAGGCACACATGACCAAGACGTTCCTCAGAAATCTTTTTTGTAGTTTTTATGTGAAGGTATTTCCTTTTCCGCTATAGGCCATAAAGGGCTCCAAATATCCTCTTGCAGATTCTATAAAAAGAGAGACTCAAAACTGCTCAATCAAAAGATAGTTTCAACTCTGTGAGTTTAATGCACACTTAGCAAAGGTGTTTCTCAGAATGCTTCTGTGTAGTTTTTATGTGAAGATATTCCCGTTTCCCCCATAGGCCTCAAAGCGCTCCAAATATCCACTTGCAGATACTACAAAAATAAAGTTTCAAAACTGCTGAATGAAAAGAAAGGTTCAACACTGTGAGATGAATGCACATATTGCACAGAAGTTTTTCAGAATGATTCTGTGCAGTTTTTATGTGAAGATATTTCCTTTTCCACAATAGGAATCCAAGTGCTCCTAATATCAACTTGCAGATTCTACATAAAGAGTTTTTCAAAACTGCTCAATCAAAAGAAAGGTTCAACTCTGTGAGACGAATGCACACATCACAAAGAGGTTACTTGGAATACTTCTGTGTACGTTTCATGTGAAGATATTTTCTTTTCAACAATAGGCCTCAAAGTGCTCCAATTATCCACTTGTAGATTCTACAAAAAGAATGTTTCAAAACTACTAACTGAAAAGAAAGATTCATCTTTGTGAGATGAATGCACACATCACCATGAAGTTTCTCAGAATGATTCTGTGTAGCTTTTAGTTGAAGATATTCCCATGTCCACCATAGGCCACAAATGGCCCCAAATATCCACTTGTAGATTCTACAAAAAGAGAGTTTCAAAACTGTTCAATGAAAAGATAGGTTCAACTCTGTGAGTTGAATGCACACATCACAGAGAAGCTTCTCAGAAAGTTTCTGTGTAGTTTTTATGTGAAGTTGTTTCCTTTTACCCAATAGACCTCAAAGTGTTCCAAATATTCACTTGCAGATACTTCAAAAATATTGTTTCAAAACTGCTCAATCAAAAGAAAGGTTCATCTTATGAGATGAATGCACACATCACAAAGAAGTTTCTCAGAATACTTGTGTCTGTTTTTTATGTGAAGGCATTTCCTTTTCCACAACAGACCACAAAAGGCTGTAAATATCCACTTGCAGATACTACAAAAAGAGAGTTTCAAAATGGCTTAATCAAAAGATATGTTCAACTCTGTGAGTTGAATGCACAGATTGCAAAGGAGTTTCTCAGAATATTTCTGTCTAGTTTTCATGTGAAGGCATTTCCTTTTCCCCCATAGGCCTCAAATGGTTCCAAACTTACACCTGCAGATACTACAAAAAGAGAGATCCAAAACTGCTCATCAAAAGATTGATTCACATCTGTGAGTTGAATGCACACAACACAAAGAAAATTCTCAGAATGCTTCTGTGTGGTCTTTAAGTGAAGATATTTCCTTTTCCACAATAGGCCTCAAAGCGCTCCAAATATGTACTTGCAGATTATACAACAAGAGTGTTTCAATACTGCTCATTCAAAAAAAAGGTACAGCTCTGTGAGATGAATGCATACATCACAAAGAAGTTTCTCAGAATGATTCTGTGTAGATTTTATGTGAAGATATCTCGTTTTCCAAAATAGGCCTCAAAGCCCTCCAAATATCCACTTGCAGATTCTACAAAGAGAGTGTTTCAAAACTACTCAATCAAAAGAAAGGTTCATCTCTGTGAGTTGAATACACACATCATAAAGAAGTTTCTCGGAATGCTTCTGTGTAGTCTTTACATGAAGATATGTCCTATTCCACCGTAGGTCTCTAAGCACTCCAAATATCCTCTTGCAGAATCTACAAAAAAAGTGTCACAAAACTGCTCAATCAAAAGCAAGTTCAACTCTTTGAGATGAAAGCACATATCACAAAAATGTTTCTCAGAATGCTTCTGTGTAGTTTTTATGTGAAATATTTGATTTTCCAGAGTAGGCCTCAAATCGCTCCTAATATCCACTTGCAGATTCTGCAAAAACTGTGTTTAATAACTGTACAACCAAAAGAAATTTTCAACTCTGTGAGATGAAAACACACAACGCAAAGACGCTTTTCAGAATGCTTCTGTGTAGTTTTTATGTGAAGATATTGCCTTTTAGACAATAAGCTTCAAAGCGCTCCAAGTAACCACTTGCAGATTCTACAAAAAAAGGGTTTCAAAACTGCTCAATCCAAAGAGAGGTTCAACTCTGTGAGATGAATGCACACATCACAAAGAAGTTTCTCAGACTGCTCCTGTGTAGTTTTTTTTTTTTGAAGATATTTCCGTTTCCACCATAGGCCACAAAGGACTCCAAATATCCAGTTGCAGATTCTTCAAAAAGAGAGATTCAAAACTACTCAATCAAAAAATAGGTTGAAATCTGTGAGTTGAATGTACACATCACAAAGAATTTTCTCAGAATGCTACTGTATAGTTTTTACGTGAAGACATTTCCTTTTTCAAAACAGGCCTCAAAGCCCTCCAAATATCCACTTGCAGATTCTACAAAAAGTGTGTTTCAAAACTGCTCAATCAAAAGATACGTTCAATCTGTGTGATGAATGCACTCATCAAAAAGTAGTCTCTCAGAATTCTTCTGTGAAATTTTTATGTGAAGATATTTCCTTTTCCACAATAGGCCTCAAAGTGCTCCAAATATCCACTTTCAGATTCTACAAAAAGAGAGATTCAAAACTGCTCAAACAAAACGTAGGTTACACTCTGTGAGTTGAATTCACAATTCACAAAGTAGTTTCTCAGAAAGCTTCTGTGAAATTTTTATGTGAAGATATTTCCTTTTCCACAATAGACCTCAAAGCACTGCAAATATCCATTTTCGGATTGTACAAAAAGAGAGATTCAAAACTACTCAAACAAAACCTAGGTTAAACTCTGTGAGTTGAATTCACAATTCATGAAGAAGTTTATCAGAATGCTACTGTGTAGTTTTTACTTGAAGATTTTTTTTGCACAATATGCATCAAAGTTCTCCAAATATCCAAATGCAGATTCTATAAAAAGACTGTTTCAAAACTGCTCAATCAAAAGAAAAGTTTAACTCTGTGAGATGAATGCACACATCACAAAGAAGTTTCTCAGAATGCTTCTGTGTGGTCTTTAAGTGAAGATATTTTCTTTTAAAGAGTAGGCCTCATGAGCTCCAAATATCCACTTGCAGATTCTACAAAAAGAGGGTTTCAAAACTGCTCAATCATAAAATAGGTTCAAACATGTGAGTTGAACGCACACATCACACAGAAGTTTCTCAGAATGCTTCTGTGTAGTTTTTATGTGAAGATAGTTCTTTTTCCACAATAGGCCTCAAAGAGCTCCAAATATCCACTTGCAGATGCTACAAAAAGAGTGTTTCAAAACTGCTCAATCAAAAGAAAGATTCATCTCTGTAAGGTGAATGCAAATATCACAATGTAGTTTCTGAGAATGCTTCTGTGTACCTTTTACGTGAAGATATTTCCTTTTCCACAATAGGCCTCAAACCGCTCCAAATATCCACTTACACATTCTACAAAAAGAGTATTTCACAACTGCTCAATCATAAGATAGGTTCAACTCTGTGAGATGAATGCACACATCACAAATAAGTTTCTCAGAATGCTTCTGTGTAGTTTTTATTTGAAGACATTTCCTTTTCCACCACAGACCACAAATTGCTCCAGATATCCACTTGCAGATTCTATAAAAAGAGAGATTCAAAACTGATCAATCATAAGATAGGTTCAACTCTGTGAGATGTATGCACACTTCACAAAGAAGTTTCTCAGAATTCTTCCTTGTAGTTTTTATGTGAAGATATTTCCTTTTCCACAATAGGCCTCAAAACGCCCCAAATATCCACTTGCAGATTCTACAACTAGAGTGTTTCAAAACTACTAAATCATAAGATAGTTTCAAATCTGTGAGATGAATGCACACATCACAAATAAGTTTATCAGAATACTTCTGTGTAGTTTTTACGTTAAGATATTTCGTTTTCCACAATAGGCCTCAAAGCACTCCAAATATCCACTTGCAGATTCTACAAAAAGATTGTTTCAATACTGCTCAATCATAAGACAGGTTCAGCTGTGTGAGATGAATGCAGACATCACAAAGAAGTTTCTCAGAATGCTTCTGTGAAGTTTTTATGTGAAGATATTTGCTTTTCCACAGTAGACCTCAAAGTGCTCTAAATATGCACTTGAAGATTCTACAAAAACAGTGTTCCAAAACTGCTGAATCATAAAATAGGTTCAACTCTGTGATTTGAATGCACACATCGCAAAGAAATTCCTCAGAATGCTTCTGGGTAGTTTTTATTTGAAGATATTTCCTTTACCTCCATAGGCCGCAAAGGGCTCCAAATGTCCACTTGCAGATCCTACCAAAAGAGGGAAAGAAAACTGTTCAATGAAAATATAGGTTCAACTCTGTGAGTTTAATGCACATATCAGCAAGTAGTTTCTCAGAATGCTTCTGTGTAGTTTTTATGTGAAGACATTACCTTTTTCACAATAGGCCACATGGGCTCCAAATATACACTTGCACTTTCTACAAAAAGAGTGTTTCAAAACTGCTCAATCATAAGACAGGTTAAACATTGTGAGATGAAAGCACACATCACAAAGAAGTTTCTCAGAATACTTCTGTGTAGTTCTCATGTGAAGATATTTCCTTTTCCACCATAGGCCTCAAAGCGATCCAAACTTCCACTTGTAGATACTACAAAAAGAGTGTTTCCAAACTGCTCAATCAAAAGAAAGTTTCAACTCTGTGAGATGAAGGCACACATGACCAAGACGTTCCTCAGAAATCTTTTTTGCAGTTTTTATGGGAAGGTATTTCCTTTTCCACCATAGGCCACAAAGGGCTCCAAATATCCTCTTGCAGTTTCTACAAAAAGAGAGATTCAAAACTGCTCAATCAAAAGATAGTTTCTACTCTGTGTGTTTAATGCACACTTAACAAAGTTGTTTCTCAGAATGCTTCTGTGTGCTTTCTATGTGAAGATATTCCCATTTCCACTATAGGCCTCAAAGCACTCCAAATATCCACTTGCAGATTCTACAAAAATAAAGTTTCAAAACTGCTGAATGAAAAGAAAGGTTCAACACTGTGAGATGAATGCACATATCGCACAGAAGTTTCTCAGAATGATTCTGTGCAGTTTTTATGTGAAGATATTTCCTTTTCCACAATAGGAATCTAAGTGCTACAAATATCAACTTGCAGATTGTAGAGAAAGAGTGTTTCAAAACTGCTCAATCAAAAGAAAGTTTCAACTCAGTGTGATGAATGCACACATTGCAAAGAGGTTTCTCGGAATACTTCTGTGTAGATTTCATGTGAAGATATTTTCTTTTCAACAATAGGCCTCAAAGCACTCCAATTATCCACTTGCAGATTCTACAAAAGAGTGTTTCAAAACTGCACAATGAAAAGAAAGATTCATCTCTGTAAGATGAATGCACACATCACCATGAAGTTTCTCAGAATGTTTCTATGTAGTTTTTAGTTGAAGATATTCCCATTTCCACCATACGCTGCAAATGGCTCTAAATATCCACTTGCAGATTCTACAAAAAGAGAGTTTCAAAATTGTTCAATGAAAAGACAGGTTCAACTCCATGAGTTGAATGCATGCATCACAGAGAAGTTTCTCAGAAAGCTTCTGTGTAGTTTTTATGTGAAGATATTTCCTTTAACACAACAGGCCTCAAGGTGCTTCAAATATTCACTTACAGATACTTCAAAAAGATTGTTTCAAAACTGCTCAATGAAAAGAAAGGTTCATCTCTGTGAGATGAATGCACACATCACAAAGAAGTTTCTCAGAAAAATTCTTTGTGTTTTTTATGTGAAGCCATTTCCTTTTTCACAATAGGCCACAAAAGGCTCCAAATATCCACTTGCAGATACTATAAAAAGAGAGTTTCAAAGTGGCTCAATCAAAAGATAGGTTCAACTCTGTGAGTTCAATGCACATATCACAAAGGAGTTTCTCAGAATACTTCTTTCTAGTTTTCCTGTGAAGGCATTTCCTTTTCCACCATAGGCCTCAAAGGCTCCAAATATACACCTGCAGATACTACAAAAGAGAGTTTCAGAACTGCTCATCAAAAGATAGATTCACATCTGTGAGTTGAATGCACACATCACAAGGTAGTTTCTCAGAATGCTTCTGTGTAGTTTTTATGTGAAGATATTTCATTTTCCACAATAGGCCTCAAAGCGTTTCAAATATCCACTTGCAGATTATGCAAAAACAGTGTTTCAAAACTGTTCAATCCAAAAAAGTTTCCACTCCGTGAGATGAATGCACATATCCAAAGAAGTTTCTCAGAATGATTCTGTGTAGTTTTTATGTGAAGATATTTCGTTTTCCAAAATAGGCCTCAAAACAGTCCAAATATCCACTTGCAGATGCTACAAAGAGAGTGTTTCAAAACTGCTCAAACAAAAAAAAGGTTCAACTATGTGAGATAATTGCACACATCACAAAGAAGTTTCTCAGAATGCTCCTGTGTAGTTTTAATGTGAATATATTTGTTGTTCAACTGTTGGCCTCAAAGCTCTCCAAATATCCACTTGCATATTCTACAAATACAGTGTTTCAAAACTACTCAATCAAAAGAAAGGTTCAACTCTGTGAGTTGAATACACACATCAAACAGAAGTTTCTCAGAATTCTTATGTGTAGTTTTTATGTGAAGATATTTCCTATTCCACTGTAGGCCTCAATGCTCTCCAAATATCCTCTTGCAGATTCTACAAAGAGTGTTACAAAACTGCTCAATCAAAAGAAAGTTCAACTCCTTGAGATGAATGCACACATCAAAAAGAAGTTTCTCAGAATGCTTCTGTGTAGTTTTTATGTGAAGATATTTGCTTTTCCTGAGTAGGCTTAATATCCACTTGCAGATTCTGCAAAAACTGTATTTCATAACTGCTCAATCAAAAGAAAGTTTCAACTCGGTAAAATGAAAGCACACAACACAAAGACGCTTCTCAGAATGCTTCTGTGTAGTTTTTATGTGAAGATATTTTCTTTTAGACCACAAGCCTCAAAGTGCTCCAAATAACCACTTGCAGATTCTAAAAAAAGAGAGCTTCAAAACTGCTCAATCCAAAGAGAGATTCAACTCTGTGAGATGAACGCACACATCACAAAGAAGTTTCTCAGACTGCTTCTGTGTAGTTTTTTTTGAAGATATTTCCATTTCCACCATAGGCCGCAAAGGAATCCAAATATCCTATTGCAGAATCTACAAAAAGAGAGATTCAAAACTGCTCAATCAAAAAATAGGTTCAACTCTGTGAGTTGAATGTACACATCACAAAGAATTTTCTCAGAATGCTTCTGTGTAGTTTTTACGTGAAGATATTTCCTTTTTCAAAACAGGCCTCAAAGCCCTCCAAATATCCACTTGCAGATTCTACAAAAAGTGTGTTTCAAAACTGCTCAATCAAAAGACAGTTTCATCCTGTGTGACGAATGCACTCATCACAAAGTAGTCTCTCAGAATGCTTCTGTGAAATTTTTATGCGAAGAAATTCCCTTTTCCACAATAGGCCTCAAAGTGCTCCAAATATCCACTTTCAGATTCTACAAAAAGAGAGATTCAAAACTGCTCAAACAAAACATATGTTAAACTCTGTGAGTGGAATTCACAGTTCACAAAGAAGTTTATCACAATGCTACTGTGTAGTTTTTATTTGAATATATTTGCTTTTCCACAATATGCATCAAAGTTCTCCAAATATCTAAATGCAGATTCTACAAAAAGAGTGTTTCAAAACTGCTCATCAAAAGATTGATTCACATCTGTGAGATGAATGCACACATCAAAAAGAAGTTTCTCAGAATGCTTCTGTGTGGTCTTTAAGTGAAGATATTTTCTTTTAAAGAGTGGACGTCAATGAGCTCCAAATATCCACCTGCTGTTTCTACAAAAAAGTGTTTCAAAACTGCTCAATCATAAAATAGGTTCAACCCTGTGAGATGAATGCACACATCACAAAGAAGTTTCTCAGAATGCTTTTGTGTAGTTTTTATGTGAAGATATTTCCTTTTCCACAATAGGCCTCAAAAGCCCCCAAATATCCACTTGCAGATTCTACAAAAAGATTGTTTCAATACTGCTCAATCATAAGACAGGTTCAACTGTGTGAGATGAATGCAGACAGCACAAAGATTTTTCTCAGAATGCTTCTGTGAAGTTTTTATGTGAAGATATTTGCTTTTCCACAGTAGGCCTCAAAGCGCTCCAAATATCCACTTGAAGATACTACAAAAACAGTGTTTCAAAACTGCTGAATCATAAAATAGGTTCAACTATGTGAGTTGAATGGACACATAGCAAAGGAGTTCCTCAGAATGCTTCTGGGTAGTTTTAATTTGAAGATATTTCCTTTTCCTCCATAGGCTGCAAAGGGTTCCAAATGTCCACTTGCAGATCCTGCAAAAAGAGGGAATCAAAACTGCTCAATGAAAAGATAGGTTCACCTCTGTGGGATTAATGCACATATCACAAAGTAGTTTCTCAGAATGCTTCTGTGTAGTTTTTATATGGAGGTATTTTCTTTTTCACAATAGGCCACATGGGCTCCAAATACACACTTGCACTTTCTACAAAAAGAGTGTTTCAAAACTGCTCAATCATAAGATAGTTTCAACATTGTGAGATGAAAGCACACATCACAAAGAAGTTTCTCAGAATGCTTCTGTGTAGTTTTCATTGAAGATATTTCCTTTTCCACCTTAGGCTGCAAAGGGCTCCAAATATCCGCTTGCAGATTCTATAAAAAGAGAGATTCAAAACTGATCAATAATAAGATAAGTTCAACCCTGTGAATCGTATGCACACATCAGAAAGAAGATTCTCAGAAATCTTTTTTGTACTTTTTATGTGAAGATATTTCTTTTTCCACAATATGCATCAAAGTGCTCCAAATATCCAATTGCAGATTGTACAGAAAGAGTGTTTCAAAACTGCCCAATCAAAAGAAATTTTAAACTTTGTGAGATGAAGGAACACCTCACAAAGAAGTTTCTCAGAATGCCTCTGTTTTATTTTAAGATATTTCCTTTTCCTCCATAGCCCGCAAAAGGCTCCAAATATCCACTGGCAGATTCTGCAAAAAGAGTGATTCAAAACTGCTAAATCAAAAGATAGCTTCAACTCTTTGAATTCAATGCACACATCAGAAAGAAGTTTCTCAGAATTCTTTGGTGTAGTTTTTATATGAAGATATTTCGTTTTCCACGATAGGCTGCAAAGGGTTCAAAATACTGACTTGCAGATTCTACAAAAACAGAGATTCAAAACTGCTCAATCAAAACATATGTTCAACTCTGTGTGTTGAAGGCATGCATTACAGAGAAGTTTCAAAGAATGCTTCTGTGTAGTTTTTATGTGAAGTTATATCCTTTTCCACAATAAGCCACAAAGCGCTCCAAATATCCACTAGCAGATTCTACAAAAACTACAAAAACGGTGTTTCAATAAATGCCCAATCATAAGATAGGATCAACTCTGTGTGATGAATACACTCATCACATATTAGTTTCTCACAATGGCTCTGTGTAGTTTTTTTGTGAAGACATTTTCTTTTCCACAGTAGATCTGAAAGTGCTCCAAATATCCACTTGCTGATTCTACAAAAACAGTGTTTCAAAATTACTCAGTCAAAAGAAAGTTTCGACTCTGTGAGATGAATTCACATATTATAAAGAAGTTTCTCAGAGTGTTTCTGTGTAGTTTTTATGTGAAGATATTTCCTTTTCGACAAAAGGCATCAAAGCTCTCCAAGAATCCACTTGTAGATTCTAGAAAGAGAGTGTAACAAAACTGCTCATTCATAAGATAAGTTCAACACCGTGAGATGAATGTACACATCTTTGAAGTTTCCCAGAATTCTTCTGTGTAGTTTATATTTGAAGATATTTCCTTTTACCCCATGGGCCGCAAGGGCTCCAAATATCCACTTTCAGATACTAAAAAAAGAGAGATTCAAAACTGCTCAATCAAAAGATAGGTTCAACTGTGTGAGTTGAATGCAGATCACAAAGTAGTTTCTCAGAATGCCTCTGTGCAGTTTTTATGTGAAGATATTTCCTTTTCCACAATAGGCCTCAAAGCACTCCAAATATCCATTTGCAGACTCTATAAAAAGACTGTTTCAAAACTGCTCAATCAAAAGAAATGTTCAACTCTGTGAGATGAATGCACACATCTCAAAGAAGTTTCTCAGAATGCCTCTGTGTAGTTTTTATGTGAAGATATTTTCTTTTTCAGAGTAGGCCTCAATTGCTCCAAATATCCACTTGCAGACACTACAAAAACACTGTTTCAAAACTGCTCAATCAAAAGAAATGTTCAACTCTGTGAGAGGAATGGACATATCACAGGGAAGTTTCCCAGAAAGCTTCTGTGTAGTTTTTATGTGAAGATATTTCCTTTTCCACAGTAAACCTCATAATGCTCCAAGTATCCACTTACAGATTCTACAAAGAGAGAGTTTCAAAACTGCTCAATCAAAACATAGGTTCAACTCTGTGAGATGAATGCACAGATCAGGAAGAAGTTTCTCTGAATGCTTCTGTGTACCTTTTCTTTGAAGATATTTCCTTTTTATTCATAGGCCACAAAGGGCACCAAATATTCAGTTGCAGATTCTACGAAGAGAGATTCAATACTGCTCAATGAAAAGATAGGTTCAACTATGTGAGTTGAATGCACACATCACGAAGACGTTTCTCAGAATGCCTCAGTGTAGTTCTTACGTGAAGATATTTGTTTTTCCACAGTAGGCCTCAAAGCACTCCGAATATCCACTTGCAGATTCTATGAAAACAGCGTTTCAAAACTGCCCAATCAAAAGAAAATTTCAACACTGTGAGATGAATGCACACATCACAAAGTAGTTTCTCAGAATGCTTCTGTGTAGTTTTTGTGTGAAGATATTTTGTTTTCCACAATAGGCCACAAAGCGCTCCAAATATCTACTTGCAGATTCTACGAAAACAGCATTTCAAAACTGCTCAATCAAAAGAAAATTTCAACTCTGAGATGAGTTCACACATCTCAAAGAAATTTCTCACAATTCCTCCGTGTAGAGTTTATTTAAATACATTTCATTTTCCACCATAGGCCGATAAGGTCTCTCAATATCCGGTTGAAGATTCTACGAAAAGATTCAAACCTGATCCATCAAGAGATTGGTTCAACTCTGTGAGTTGAATGCACATATCACAAAGATGTTTCTCAGAATGCTTCTGTGTAGTCTTTATGTGAAGATATTTCCTTTTCCACAATAGGCCTCAAAGCCCTCCAAATATCCACCTGCAGATTCTACAAAAAGAGCGTTTCAAATCTGCTCAATCAAAAAAATGTTAAAATCTGTGTGATGAATGTACACATCATAAAGAAGTTTCTCAGAATGCCTACGTGTAGTTTTTACGTGAAGATATTTCCTTTTCTGCAATAGGCCTCAAAGCTGTCCAAATATCCACTTGCAGATTCTACAAAAAGAGTTTTTCAAAACTGCTCTATCAAAAGATAGTTTCAACACTGTGAGTTGAATGTACACATCACAAAGAAGTTTCTCAGAATGCATCTGTGTAGTTTTGATGTGAAGATATTTCCTTTTACAAAATAGTCCTCAAAGTCCCCCAAATATCAACTTGCAGTTTCTACATAAAGAGTGTTACAAAACTGTTCAATCAAAAGGAAATGTTCAACTCTGTGTGATGAATGCACTCATAACGAAGAAGTTTCTCAGAATGCTTCTGTGTAGTTTTTATATGAAGATATTTCCTTTTCCACAATAGACCTAAAAGCGCACCAAATATAAACTTGCAGATTCTACAAAAAGAGTGACTCAAAACTGTTCAATCAAAAGATACGTTGAACTCTGAGTTGAATGCACACATCAAAAAAAGTTTCTCAGAATGCTTCTGTGTAATTGTTATGTGAAAATATTTCCTTTTCCACAATAGGCCTCAAAGCTCTCTAAATATCCACTTGCAGATTCTGCAGAAAGAGAGATTCAGAACTGCACCATCAAATATAGGTTCGATTCCGTGAGTTGAATGCACATATCACAAAGAAGTTTCTCACAATGCTTCTGTGTAGTTTTTATGTGAAGATGTTTCCTTTTCCGCAATTGGCCTCAAGGGTCTCCCAATAGCCACTTGCACATACTTCAAAAGGAGAGATTCAAAACTGATCAATCAAAACATAGGTTTGAGTCCGTGAGTTGCATGAACGCCTCACGAAGAAGTTGCTGAGAATGCTTCTGTGTAGTTTTTATGTGAAGATATTTCCTTTTCCAAAAGAGGCCTCAAAGCCCTCCAAATATCCACTTCCAGATTCTACAAAAAGAGTGTTTCAAAACTGCTCAATCAAAAGAAAAGTTCAAATCTGTGTGATGAATGCACTCATCACAAAGAAGTTTCTCTGAATCCTTCTGTGTAGTTTGTATTTGAAGATATTTCCTTTTCCACCTTAGGGCACAAAGGGCTCCAAATATCCACTTGCAGATTCTACAGAAAGAGAGATTAAAAACTTCTCAATCAAAAGATACGTTCAACACTGTGAGTTGAATGTACTCATCACAACGAAGTTTCTCAGAATGCTTCTGTGTAGTTTTTATATGAAGATATTTCCGTTTCCACAATAGGCCTCAAAGTGCTCCAAATACCCACTTGCAGATTCTACAAAGAGTGTTTCAAAACTGCTCTATCAAAAGAAATGTTTAACTCTGTGACATGAATGCACACATCACAAAGAATTTTCTCAGATTGCTTCTGCCTAGATTTTATATGAAGATATTTCCTCTTCTAAAATAGGCCACAAAGCACTCCAAATATCCACTTGCAGATTCTACACAAAGAATGTTTCCAAACTGCTGAATCAAAAGAAAAGTTCAACTCCGTGAGATGAACGAACGCATCACAAAGTGTTTCTCTGAGTTTTCTGTCTAGTTTTTATGTGAAGATATTTCCTTTTCCACCATAGGCCTGAAAGCACTCCAAATGTCCACTTGCAAATTCTACAAAAAGAGAGTTTCAAAACTGCTTAAACAAAAGAATGTTTAAACTCTGTGAGATGAATGCACACATCACAAAGAAGTTTCTCAGATTGCTTCTGTCTAGATTTTATGTGAAAACATTTCCTTTTCTACCATAGGCCGCAAAGCACTCCAAATGTCCACTTGCATATTCTACAAAAATAATGTTTCCAAACTGCTCAATCAAAATAAAGGTTCTACACTGTAAGATGAACGCACACATCTCAAAGAAGTTTCTCAGAATTCTGTCTAGTTTCTATGTGAAGATATTCCCTTTTCCGCCATAGTCTTCAAAGCGCTCCAAATGTCCAGTTGCAGATTCTGCAAAAAGAGTTACAAAACTGCTCAATCAAAAGAAAGGTTTAACTCTGTGAGATGAATGTACACATCATAAAGAAGTTTTTCAGATTCCTTCTGTCTGGATTTTATGTGAAGATATTTCCTATTCTACCAATGGCCATAAAGTGCTCCAAATGTGCACGTGCAGATTCTACAAAAAGGGTGTTTCCAAACTGCTCAATCAAAAGAGAAGTACAACTCCGTGAGGTGAACACACACATCACAGAGAAGTTTGTCATAATTCTTCTGTGTAGTTTTAAACTGAAGATATTTCCTTTTCCACCATAGGCCTCAAAACACTCCAAATGTCCAATTGTAGAATCTACAAAAAGAGAGTTTCCAAACTGCTCAATCAAACTAAAGTTTCAACTCTCTGGAATGAATGCACACATCACAAAGAAGTGTCTCAGAATTCTTCTGTCTAGTTTATATGTGAAGATATTTACTTTTACACCATAGGACTCAAAGCACTACAAATGTCCACTTGAAGACTCCACGAAAAGAATGTTTCCAAAATGCTGAATCAAATGAGATGTTCAACTCTGTGAGATGAACGCACACATCATAAAGAAGTTTCTCAGAATTCTTCTGTCTAGTTTTTATGTGAAGATACTTCCTTTTTTTCCATAGGAATCAAAGGTCTTCAAATGTCCCTTTGCAAATTCTACAAATAGAAAGTTTCAAAACTGCTCAATCAACAGAAAGGTTTAATTCTGTAAGACTAATGTACACATCACAAAGAAGTTTCTCACATTGCTTCTTTCTTGATTTTATGTGAAGATATTTCCTTTTCTACCATAGGCTGCAAAGCACTCCAATTGCAGATTCTACAAAAAAAGAGTTTGAAAACAGTTCTATAAAAAAGAAAGCTTTAAATCTGTGAGATGAATGCATACATCACAATGCAGTTTATCAGATTCCTTGTGTCTAGATTTTATGTGAAGATATTTCCTTTCCTGTGATAGGCCGCAAAGCACTCCAAATGTCCACTTGCATATTCTACAAAAAGAGGGTTTTCAAACTGCTCAATCTAAAGAAAGGTTCAACTCTGTGAGATGAACACACACATCACAAAGAAGTCTGTCAGAATTCTCCTGTCTAGTTTTTATTTGAAGATATTACCTTTTCCAGCATAGGCCTCAAAGCGATCCAAATGCCCACTTGCAGATTTTACAAAAACAGAGTTTCAAAACTGCTCAATAAAAAGAAAGGTTTAACTCTGGGAGATGAATACACACATCACAAAGAAGTTTCTCAGATTGCTTCTGTCTAGATTTTATCTGAAGATATTTTCTTTTCTATTAGAGGCTGCAAAGTGCTCCACATATCCACTTGCAGATTCAACAAAAAGAGTTTTTCCAAACAGCTTTATCAAAAGAAACGTTCAACTCTGTGAGATGAATGCACACATCACAAAAAAGTTTCTCAGAATTCTTCTGTTTAGTTTTTATGTTCCTTTTCCACCATAGGCCTCAAAGTGCTACAAATGTCCACTTGCAGATTGTACAAAATGAGTGTTTCCAAACTGCTCAACCAAAAGAAAGTTTAAACTCTGTGAGATGAATGAACACATCACAAAGAAGTTTCTCAGAAATCTTCTATCTATTTTTTATATAAAGATATTTGCTTTTCTACCATAGGCCACAAATAGCTCCAAATGTCCACTTGCAAATTCTACAAAAAGAGAGTTTAAAAACTGCTCAATCAAAAGAAAGGTTAAACTGTGTGACATGAAGGCACACAACACAAAGAAGTTTCTCAGATTGCTTCTGTCTAGATTTTATGAGAAGATATTTTCTTTTCTACTACAGGCCACAAACTGTCCAAATTTCTCCTGCAGATTCTAAAAAAAGTGTTTCCAAACTGCTCAATCAAAAGAAAGTTTCAAATCAGTGAGGTGAAGCACACATCACAAAGAAATTTTTCAGAATTCTTCTGTCTTGTTTTTATGTGAAGATATTTCCTGTTCCACCATAGGCCTCAAAATGCTGCAAATGTCTAATTGCAGATTCTACATTAATAGAGTTTCAAAATTGCTCAACCAAAAGGAAGGTTTAATTTTGTGAGGTGAATGCACACATCACAAAGAAGTTTCTCAGATTGCTTCTGTCTAGATTTTATGAGAAGATATTTCCTTTTCTACCATAGGCAGCAAAGCGCTCCAAATGTCCACTAGCAGATTCTACAAAAAGAGTGTTTTCAAACTGCTCAATCAAAAAAAAAGGTTCAACTCTGTGAGATGAACGCACCTATCACAAAGAAGTTTCTCACAATTCTTCTGTCTAATTTTTTTGCGAAGATATTTCCTTTTCCACCATACGCAACAAAGCGTGCCAAATGTCCACTTGCAGATTCCAGCAAAAGAGAGATACAAAACTGCTCAATCAGAAGAAAGGTTTAACTCTGTGAGATGAATTCACACATCACAAAATAGTTTCTCATATTGCTTCTGTCTATATTTCATGTGAAGATGTTACCTTTTCTACCACAGGCCACAAAGCGCTCCAAATGTCCACTTGCATATTTTACAAAAAGAGTGATTCCAAACTTATCAATCAAAAAAATGTTCAAATCTGTGAGATGAATGCACACACTACAAAGAAGTTCTCGGAATTCTTCCATCTAGTTTTTGTGGGAAATTATTTCCTTTTCCATCACAGGCTTCAAAGCGCTACAAATGTACACTTGCAGATTCTACAAAAGGGAGTTTCTAAACTGCCCAATGAAAAGGAAGTTTTAACTCTGTGAGATGAATGCACACATCACAAAGAAGTTTCTGAGGCTGCTTCTGTCTAGGGTTCATGTGAAAATACTTCCTTTTGTACCATAGGCCACAAAGCGCTCCAAATGTGCACTTGAAGATTCTACATTAAGTGTGTTTCCAAACTGCTCAATCAAAAGAAAGGTTCAACTCTGTGAAACGAATGCACACATCACAAAGAAGTTTGTCGGAATTCTTCTGTCTAGTTTTTATGTGAATACATATCCTTTTCTACCATAGGCTGCAAAGTGCTCCAAAAGTCCACTTGCAGATTCTACCAAAAGTGTGTTTACAAATTGCTCAATCAAACGAAAGGTTCAACTCTGTGAGATGAACGCACACATCACAAAAAAGTTTCTCAGAATTCTTCTGTATAGTTTTTATGTGAAGATATTTCCTTTTCCACCATAAGCATCAAAGAGCTCCAAATATTGACTTGCAGATTCCACAAAAAGAGAGTTTAAAAACTGCTCAATCAGAAGAAAGGTTAAAGACAGTGAGATGAATGTACACAACATAAAGAAGTTTCTCAGATTACTTCTGTCTAGATTTTATGTGAAGATATTTCCTTTTATACCATATACCACAAAGCGCTCCAAATGTCCAATTGCAGATTCTACAAAAAGACTGATTCCAAACTGTTCAATCAAAACAAAGGTTCAAAACTGTGAGATGAATGCACACACCACAAAGAAGTTTCTCAGAATTCTTCCGTCTAGTTTTTATGTGAAGATATTACTTTTTCCACCATAGGCCTCAAAGTGCTCCAAATGTACATGTGCAGATTCTACAAAAAGAGAGTTTCAAAACTGCTCTATCAAAAGAAGCATTTCAGTCTGTGAAATGAATGTATACATTACAAAGAAGTTTTCCAGATTGCTTCTGTCTAGATTTTATGTGAACATATTTCCTTTTCAACCATACACTGCAAAGCGGTCCAAATGTCCACTTGCAGATTGTACAAAATGAGTGTTTCCAAACTGCTCAACCAAAAGAAAGTTTAAACTCTGTGAGATGAATGAACACATCACAAAGAAGTTTCTCAGAAATCTTCTATCTAGTTTTTATATAAAGATATTTGCTTTTCTACCATAGGCCACAAATAGCTCCAAATGTCCACGTGCAAATTCTACAAAAAGAGAGGTTCAAAACTGCTCAAACAAAAGAAAGGTTTAACTCTGTGAAATAAATGCACACATCACAAAGAACTTTCTCAGATTGCATCCATCTAGATTTTATGTAAAGATATTTTCTTTCCTACCACTGACTGCATAGCGCTCCAAATGTCCACTTGGAGATTCTTCAAAAAGAGTGTTTCCAAACTGCTCAATCAAAAGAAAGGTTTAACTCGGTGAGATGAATGCACACATCACAAAAAAGTTTCTCAGAATTCTTCTGTCTAGCATTTATGTGAAGATATTTCATTTTCCAGTATAAGTTTCAAGGTGCTCGAAATGTCCACTTGCAGATTACACAAAAATTATATTTCAAAATTGGTCCATCCAAAGAAAGGTTCAACTCTGGGAGATAAATGCACTCATAACAAATAAGTTTCTCAGAATGCTTCTATCTAGTTTTTATGTGAACACATTTCCTTTTCCACCATTGCCCTCAAATCCCTCCAAATGTCCACTTGCAGATTCTACAAAAGAAAGTTTCAAAACTGCTCAATCAAAAGAAAGGGTTAACTCTCAGATGAATGCAGACATCACAATGAATTTTATCAGATTGCTTCTTTCTAGATTTTATGTGAAGATATTTCCGTTTCTACCAGAGGCCGCAAAGCACTGCAATGTCCACATGCAGAGTCTACAAAAAGGGTGTTTCCAAACTGCTTAATCAAAAGAAAGGTTCAACTCTGTGAGATGAGTGCACACATCATGAAGAAGTTTCTCTGAATTCTTCTATCTAGTTTTTATGTGAAGACATTTCTTTTTAGACCATAGGCCTCAAAGGGCTCCAAATGTCCAATTGCAGATTCTACAAAAAGAGAGTTTCAAAACTTCTGAGTCAAAACAAACGTTTAAGTTTGTGAGATGAATGCACACATCACAAAGAAGTTTCTCAGATTGCTTCTGTCTAGATTTTACGTGAAGATATTTCCCTTTCTACCATAGACCTCAAAGCGCTCCAGATGCCCACCTGCAGATTCTACAAAAAGTGTGCTTCCAAACTGCTCGATCAAAAGAAAGGTTCAGGTATGTGAGATGAACGCACACATCACAAAGAAGTTTCTCAGAATAATTTTGTCTAGTTTTTATGTGAAGATATTTTCTTTTCCACCACAGACCTAAGAGTGCTACAAATGTCCAATTGCAGATCTACAAAAAGAGAGTTTCAAAACTGCTCAACCAAAAGAAAGTTTATCTCTGTGATATGAATGCACACACCACAAAGTATTTTCTCAGATTGCCTCTATCCAGATTTTATGTGAAGACATTTCCTTTTCTACCATAGGCCGCAAAGCGCTCCAAATCCCTAGTTACAGATTCTATAGAAAGTGTTTCCAAAATGTTCAATCACAAAAAATGTTCAGCTCTGTGAGATGAAAGCACATATCAAAAAGAAGTGTCACAGAATTCTTCTGTCTAGTTTTTATGTGAAAATATTTCCTTTTCCATCACAGGACAGAAAGCACTCCAAATGTCCAATTCTAGATTATACAAAAAGAGAGTTTCAAAACTGCCCAATCAAAAGAGAGTTTTAACTCTGTGAGATGAATGCACACATCCAAAGAAGTTTCTCAGATTCCTTCTGTCTACATTTTATGTGAAGATATTTCCTTTTCTACCATAGGCCTCAAAGTGCTCCAAATGTCCACTTGAAGATTCTTCAAAAACAGTGTTTCCAAACTGCTCAATCAAAAGAAAGGTTCAATTCTGTGAGGTGAATGCACACATCCCAAAGAAGTTTCTCAGAATTCTTCTGTCTAGTTTGTATGTGAAGATATTTCATTTTCCACCACAGGCCTCAAGGAGCTCAAAATATCCACTTGCAGATTCCACAAAAAGACTATTTCAAAACTGGTCCATTAAAAGGAAGTGTCAAATCTGGGAGATGAATGCACACATCACAAAGAAGTTCCTCAGAATGGTTTTATCTAATTTTTATATGAAGATATTTCCTTTTCCACCAAAGCCTTCAAAGCACTCCAAATGTCCATTGTAGATTCTATAAAAAAGAGATTTTCAAAACTGCTCAATCAAAAGACAGGTTTAACTCTGTGAGATGAATGCACATATCACAAATAAGTTTCTGAGATTGCTTCTGTCTAGATTTTATCTGAAGATATTTCATTTCTACTGTAGGCCTCAAAGCACTCCAAATTCCCACTTGCAGATTCCAAAAAGAGTGCTTCCAAACTGCTCAATCAAAAGAAAGTTCAACTCTGTGTGATGAACACACCCATCACAAAATATTTTCTCAGAATTCTTCTGTCTAGTTTTTTGTGAAGATATTTCCTATACCACCGTAGGCCTCAAAGTGCTCCAAATGTCAACTTGCAGATCCTACAAAAAGACTGTTTCCAAACTACTCAATCAAAAGAAAGTTTCAACTCTGTGAGATGAAAGTACAAATCACAAAGAAGTTTCTCAAAATTCTTCTATCTAGCTTTTATGGGAAGATATTTCCTTTTCCACCATAGGCCTCAAAGCTCTGAAAATGTCCACTTGCAGATTCTACAAAAAGAGAGTTTCAAAATTGCTCAATCAAAAGTAAGTTTTAACTCTGTGAGATGAATGCACACATAACAAAGAAGTTTATCAGATTGCTCCTGTAAAGATTTAATTTGAACATATTTCCTTTTCTACCATAGCCCTAAAGCACTCCAAATGTCCACTTGCAGGTTCTACAAAAAGAGTGTTTCCAAAATGCTCAATCAAAAGAAAGGTTCAACTCTGTGAGAGGAATGCACGCATCACAAATAAGTTTCTCAGAATTCTTCTGTCTAGTTTTTATGTGTAGATATTTCCTTTTGCACCATAGGGCTCAAAGGGCTCCAGTAGTCCCCATGCAGATTCTACAAAAAAAGAGTTTCAAACTGCTCAATAAAAAGAAAGGTTTAACTCTGAGAGATGAATGCACACATCACAAAGAAGTTTCTCAGATTCTTTCTCTCTAGATTTTATGTGAAGATATTTCCTTTTCTGCCATAGGCCGCAAAGCGCTGCAAATGTCCAGTTTCAGATTTTACAAAAAGAATGTTTCCATACTGCTCAATCAAAAGAAAGGTTCAACTCTGTGAGATGAATGCACACAACACAAAGACATTTCTCAGAATTTTTCTGCCTAGTTTTTAATGTGAAGATATTTCATTTTCCACCATAGGCCTCAAAGCGCTCCAAATGTCCACTTGCAGATTCTACAAAAAGAGAGTTTCAAAACTGCTCAATCAAAAGGAAGTGTTAACTCTGTGAGATGAATGCACCCATAAAAAAGAAGTTTCTCAGATTACTTCTGTCTAGATTTTATGTGAAGATATTTCCTTTTCTACCATAGGCTGCAAAGCGCTCCAATATCCACTTGCAGATTCTTCAAAAAGAGATTTGCAAAACTGTTCAATCAAAAGAAAGCGTTAACTCTGTGAGATTAATGCACACATCACAAAAAAGTTTCTCAGATGGCTTCTGTCTAGATTTTATGTGAAGATATTTCCTTTTCTACCATAGGCCGCAAAGCACTCCAAATGCCCTCTTGCAGATTCTACAAAAAGAGTGTTTCCAAACTACTTAATCAAAAGAAATGTTCAATTCTGTAAGATGAATGCATGCTTCACAAATAAATTTCTCATAATTCTTCTGTCTAGTTTTCATGTGAAAATATTTCCTTTTCCACCATAGGGCTCAAGGCGCTTGAAATGTCCACTTGCAGGTTCTACAAAAAGCATATTTCAAAACTCGTCTTTCAAAAGAAAGGTTCAACTCTAGGAGATGAAAAAACACATGGCAAAGAAGTTTTTCAGAATGTTCCTACCTAGTATTTATGTGAAGATATTTCCTTTTCCACCATAGGCATCAAAGTGCTCCAAATGTCCACTTGCAACATCTACTAAAGGAGGGTTTCAAAACTACTCGACAAAAGAATGTTTTAACTCTGTGAGATGAATGCACACATCATAAAGAAGTATCTCAGATTGTTTCTTTCTAGATTTTATGTGAAAATATTTCCTTTTCTAACTTAGGCCACAAAGTCCTCCAAATGACCACTTGCAGATTCTACAAAAAGAGTGTTTCCAAACTGCTCAATCAAAAGAAACATTCACTTCTGTGAGATGAACGCACACAACACAAAGATGTTTCTCAGAGTTCTTCTGTCTAGTTTTTATGTGAAGATATTTCCTTTTCCACAATTGTCCTCAAAGCACTCCAAATGTCCACTTGCAGACTCTACAAAAAGAGAGTTTCAAAAGTGCTCAATCAAAGCAAAGGTTTAACTCTGTAAGATGAATGCTCACATCACAAAGAAGTTTCTCAGATTGCTTCTGTCTAGATTTTATGTGACAATATTTCCTTGTCTACCATAGTCCACAGAGAGCACGAAATGTCCTCTTGCAGATTCTACTAAGAGTCTTTCCAAACTGTTCAATCAAAGGAAAGGTTAAACTATGTGAGATGAATGCACACATCACTAAGAAGTTTCTAAGATTGCTTCTGTCTAGATTTTATGTGAAGATATTTCTTTTTCTACCAAAGGCAGCAAAGTGCACCAAATAGCCACTTGCAGATTCTGCAAAAAGAGTGTTTCCAAACTGCTCAATCAAAAGAAAAGTTCAGCTCCGTGAGAAGAATGCACACATCACAATGTAGATCCACAAAATTCTTCTGTCTGGTTTTTATATAAACATATTTTGTTTTCCGCCATAGGCTTCAAAGCGTTCCAAATGTCCACTTGCAGACTCTACAAAAAGAGAGATTCAAAACTGCTCAATTAAATAAAGGTTTAATTTTGTAAGATGCATGCATACATCACAAAGAAGTTTCTCAGATTGCTTCTGTCTACATTTTAGGTGAAGATATTTCCTTTTCCACCAGAGGAAGCAAAGCGTTCCAAATGTCCACTTGCAGATTCTACAAAAAAGAGTGTTTCCAAACTGCTCAATCAAAAGAAGGGTTCAATTCTGTGAGATGAATGCACACATCACACTGAAGTTTCTCAGAATTCTTCTGTCTAGTTTTTATGTGAAGATATTTCCTTCTCCACCATAGGCTTCAAACCGCTCCAAGTGTCCACTTGCACATTCTACAAAAAGAGAGTTTCAAAACTGCCCTATTAAAAAATAGGTTTAACTCTGTGAGATGAATGCACATAGCACAAAGTATTTTCTCAGATTGCTTCTGTCTAGACTTTAAGTGAAGATGTTTCCTTTTTTACCATAGGCAGAAAAGCGTCCCAAATGTCCACTTGCAGATTGTACAAAAAGACTGCTCAATCAAAAGAAAGGGTTCACTCTGTCAGATGAATGCACACATCACAAAGAAGTTTCTCAGATTGCTTCTGTCTATATTTTATGTGAAGATATTTCCTTTTCTACCATAGGCCATAAAGCGCTCCAAATGTTCACCTGCAGATTCTACAAAAAGGGTGTTTCTAAAGTGCTCAATCCAAAGAAAGGTTCAAATATGTGAGACAAACGCACACATCACAAACAAGTTTCTCAGAATGCTTCTATATATTTTTTATATGAAGATATTTCCTTTTCTACCATAGGACACAAAGCGCTCTGAATGTCCACTTGAAGATTCTACAAAAACAGTGTTTCCAAACTGCTCAATCAAAAGAAAGATTCAACTCTGTAAGATGAACCAGACGTCCTGATCAAGTGTCACAGAATTCTTCTGTCTAGTTTTTATGTGAATATATTTCCTTTTCCACCTTAGGTCTCAAATTGCTCCAAATGTCCATTTGCAGATTCTACAAAAATAAAGTTTCAAAACTGCTCCATCAAAAGAAAGGTTTAACACTGTGGGATGAATGCACACATCACAAAGAAGTTTCTCAGATTGCTTCTCTCTAGATTTTATATGAAGGTATTTCCTTTTCTACCGAAAGCCTCAAAGTGCAACAAATGTCCAACCGCAGATTCTACAAAAAGAGTGTTTCCAAACGGCTCAATCAAAAGAAAGCTTCAATTGAGTGAGATGAACACACACATCACAAATAAGTTTCTCAGAATACTTCTCTCTAGTTTCTATGTGAGGATGTTTCCTTTTCCACCAGAGGCCTAAAAGCACTCCAAATGACCACTTGCAGAATCTACAAAAAGAGTGTTTCAAAACTGCTCAATCAAAAAAATGTTCAACACTATGTGATGAATGCACTCATCACAAAGAAGTTTCTATGAATATTTCTGTGTAGTTTTATTTGAAGATATTTCCTATTCCACCATAGGGCAAAAAGAGCTGCAAATATCCACTTGCAGATTCTACAAAAAGGGACATTCAAAACTGCTCAATCAGAAGATAGGTTCAACTCTGTGAGTTGAATGCTCACATCACAAAGAAGTTTCTCAGCCTGCTTCTGAGTAATTTTTATGTGAAGAAATCTCCTTTTCCACAATAGGCCTCAAATCGTTGCAAATATCCTCTTGCAGATTCTACAAAAAGAGTGTTTCAAAACTGCTCAATCAAAAAAAAGGTTCAACTCTGTCAGATGGATGCACACATCACAAAGAATTCCTCAGAATGCTTCTGTGTAGTTTTTATGTGAAGATATTTTCTTTTCCACTGTAGGCCACATAGCGCTCCAAATATCCACTTGCAGATTCTACAAATGGAGAGATTCAAAACTGTTCAATCAAAAGATAGGTTCAACTTCGTGAGTTGAATGCACACATCACAAATAAGTTGCTCAGAATGCTTCTGTATAGTTTTAATGTGAAGATATTTCCTTTTCCACATTAGTCCTCAAAGCTCTCCAAATATCCACTTGTAGATTCTGCAAAAAGAGAGATTCAAAACTTCTCAATCAAAATACAGGTTCAACTCCGTGATTTGAATGCACACATCACAAAGAAGTTTCTCAGAATGCTTCTGTGTAGTTTTTATGTGAAGATATTTCATTTTCCACAATAGGCCTCAAATCACTCCAAATATCCACTTGCAGATTCTACAGAAAGCGTGTTTCAAAAATGCTCAATCAAAAGAAAATTTCAACTCTGTGAGATGAATGCACACATCACCAAGAAGTTTCTCAGAATGCTTCTGTGTAGTTTTTATGTGAAGATATTTGCTTTTCCACAGTCAGCCTGAAAACGCTCCCAGTATCCACTTGTAGATCCCACAAAAGCAGTGTTTCAAAAGTACTCAATCAAAAGAAAGGATCAACCCTGGCAGATGAAGGCACTCACGACAAAGAAGGTTCTCAGAATGCTTCTGCGTAGTTTTTATGTGAAGATATTTCCTTTTCCACAATAGGCTTCAAATTGCTTCAAATATCCACTTGCAGATTCTACAAAAAGAGTGTTTCAAAACTGCTCAATCAAAAGAAACTTTCAGTTCTCTGAGATGAATGCACACATCACAAAGAAGTTTCTCAGAATGCATCTGTCTAGTTATTATATGAAGATATTTTGTTATCCACCAAAGGCCTCAAAGCGCTTCAAAGGTCCACTTGCAGATTCCACAAAAAGAGTATTACAAAACTGCTGAATGCAAAGTAGGGTTCAACTCAGTGGGATGAATACACACATCACAAAGTAGTTTCTCAGAATGCATCTGTCTAGTTATTATATGAAGATATTTTGTTATCCACCAAAGGCCTCAAAGCGCTTCAAAGGTCCACTTGCAGATTCCACAAAAAGAGTATTACAAAACTGCTGAATGCAAAGTAGGGTTCAACTCAGTGGGATGAATACATACATCACAAAGCCGTTTGTCAGAACTTTTCTGTCTGGTTTTTATATGAACATATTTTTTTTTCCAGCATAGACCTCAAAGCGCTTCAAATGTCCACTTGCAGATTCTACAAAAAGAGAGTTTCAAAACTGCTTAATCAAAAGAAAGGTTTAACTCTGTAAGATGAATGCACACAACATAAAAAAGTTGCTCAGTTTGCTTCTGTCTAGATTTTATGTGAAGATATTTCCTTTTCTTCCATAGGCCACAAAGCACTCCAAATGTCCACTTGCAGATTCCACAAAAACAGTGTTTCCAAACTGCTCAATCAAAAAGAATTGTTCTACTTTGTGAGATGAATGCACACTTCACAAAGATGTTTGTCAGAATTCTTCTGTCTAGTTTTTATGTGAAGATATTTCCTTTTCCACCATAGGCCTCAAAGCACTCCAAATGTCCACTTGCAGATTCTACAAAAAGAGAGTTTCAAAACTGCTCTATCAAAAGAAAGGTTTAATTCTGTGACATGAATGCAGACATCACAAATAAGTTTCTCAGATTGCTTCTGCCTAGATTTTATTGGAAGATATTTCCTTTTCTAAAATAAGCCGCAAAGCACTCCAAATGTCCACTTGCAGATTCTACAGAAAGAATATTTCCAAACTGCTCAATCAAAAGAAAAGTTCAA
>NC_000020.11:28820663-28843401 GCF_000001405.40 Homo sapiens
CTCTGTGAAATGAATGAACACTTCACAAAGAAGTTTCTCAGATTGTTTCTGTCTAGATTTTATGTGAAGATATTTACTTTTCTAACATAGGTCACAAAGCACTCCAAGTGTCAACTTGCAGACTCTACAAAAAGAGTGTTTTCAAACTGCTCAATCAAAAATAGTTCAACTCTGTGAGATGAACACATGCATCACAAAAAAGTTTCTCAGAATTCTTCTGTCTAGTTTTAATGTGAAAATATTTCATTTTCCACCATAGGCCTCCAAGCGTTCCAAATGTACAATTGCAGATTCTACAAAATGAGTGTTTCCAAATTGCTCAGTCAAAAGAAAGTTTTAGCACTGTGAAATGAATGCACACATCACAAAGAAGTTTATCAGACTGCTTTTGTCTACATTTTATGTGAAGATATGCCCTTTCCTAAAATGGGCCAAAAAGCCTTCCAAATGTCCACTTTCAGATTCCACAAAAAAAGTGTTTCAAAACTGCTCAATTAAATGTAAGATTCAACTCTGTGAGATGAATGAACACATCACAAAGAAGTTTCTCAGAAATCTTCTGTCTAGTTTTTATGTGAAGATACTTCCTTTTCTACCATAAGCCGCAAGACGCTACAAATGTCCACTTGCAGATTCTACAAAAAGAGAGTTTCAAAACTTCTCAATCATAAGAAAGGTTCAACTCCGTGAGATGAATGCACACATTAGAAAGAAGTTTCTCAGATTCCTTCTGTCTAGATTTCGTGGGAAGATATTTTCTTTTCTAACATGGGCTGCAAAGCGATCAAAATGTCCACTTGCAGACTCTACTAAAGAGTGTTTCCAAACTGCTCAATCAAAAGAAAGCTTCAACTCTGTGAGATTAAATCACACATCACAAATAAGTTTCTCAGATTTCTTCTGTCTAGTTTTTATGTGAAGATATTTCATTTTCGACCGTAGGCCTCAAGGCGCTCGAAATGCCCAATTGCAGATACTACAAAAAGAATATTTCAAAACTGCTCAATCAAAAGAAAAGTTCAACTCTGTGAGATTAAATCACACATCACAAAGAAGTTTGTCAGAATTCTTCTATCTAGTTTTTATATGAAGATATTACCTTTTCCACCATAGGTCTCAAAGCGCTCCAATTCCAAATTCTACAAAAAGAGACTTTCAAAACTGCTCTATCAAAAGAAAGGTTTATCTCTGTGAGATGAATGCATACATCACAATGAAGTTTTTTTCAGATTTCTTCTGTCTAGATTTTATGTGGAGATATTTCCTTTTCTACCATAGGCCGCAAAGCGGTCCAAATATCCACTTGCAGATTGTACAAAAAGAGTGATTCCAAACTGCTCAATCAAAATAAAGGTTCAACTCTGTGAGATGACTGCACGCATCACAAAGAAGTTTCTCAGAATTCTTCTGTATAGTTTTTATGTGAAGATATTTCATTTTCGACCATAGACCTCAAGGTGCTCGAAATGCCCACTTGCAGATTCTACAAAAACAGTATTTCAAAACTGGTCCATCAAAAGTAAGGTTCTACTCTGTGAGATGTATGCACACATCACAAAGAGGTGATTCTGAAGTTTTCTGTCCAGTTTTTATGTAAAGATATTACCTTTTCTACCATAGGACTCAAGGTGCTCCACTTGCAGATTCTACAAAAAGAGTTTCAAAACAGCTCTATCAAAAGAAAGGTTTAACACTGTGAGATGAATGCATACATCATGGAGAAGTTTCTCAGATTATTTCTGTTTAGATTTTGTGTGAAGATATTTCCTTTTTTACCAGAGGCCTCAAAGTGCTCCAATATCCACTTGCAGATTCTACAAAAAGAGTGTTTCCAAATAGCTCTATCAAAAGAAAAGTTCAACTCTGTGAGATGAATGCACACATCACAAGAATTTTCTCAGAATTCTCTGTCTAGTTTTTATGTTCCTTTTCCACCATAGGCCTCAAAGCGCTACAAATGTCCACTTGAAGATTCTACAAAAACGGAGTTTGAAAACTGCTCAATCAAAACAAAGTTTTACCTCTGTGAGATGAATGCACACATCACAAAGAAGTTTCTCTGATTGCTTCTGTCTAGATGTTATGTGAAGATACTTGCTTTCCTACCATAGGCCACAAAGCACTCCCAATGTCCAATTGCAGTTTCTACAAAAAGAGTATTTCCAAACTGATCAATCAAAAGAAAGTTTCAACTCTGTTAGATGAATGCACACATCACAAAGAACTTTCTCAGAATTCTTCTGTCTACTTTTTATGTGAAGATATTTCCTTTTCTACCATAGGCCGCAAAACACTCCAAATGTCCACTTGCAGATTCTACAAAAAGTGTTTCCAAACTTCTCAATCAAAAGAAAGTTTCAACTCTGTGAGATGAACACACACATCACAAAGAAGTTTCTCAGGTTGCTTCTGTGTAGATTTTATGTGAAGATATTTCCTTTTCTTACATAGGCCAAAAAGCACTCCAAATGTCCACTTGCAGATCCTACAAAAAGAGAGTTTCAAAACTGCTCTATCAAAAGAAAGGTTTAAGTCTGTGAGATGAATGCACACATCACAAAGAAGTTTCTCAGGTTGCTTCTGTCTAGTATTTATGTGAAGATATTTCCTTTTGTACCATGGGCCACAAAGTAATCCAAATGTCTACTTGCACATTCTACAAAAAGTGAGTTTCAAATCTGCACTATCAAAAGAAAAAGTTTAACTCTGTGAGATGAATGCCCACATCACAAAGAACTTTCTCAGATGGCTTCTGTCTAGATTTTACATGAAGATATTTCCTTTTCTACAATAGGCCACAAAGTGCTCCAAATGTCCACTTGCAGATACTACAAAAAGAATGTTTCCATACTGCTCAATCAAAAGAAAATTTCAACTCTGTAAGATGAACGCACAACTCACGAGGTAGTTTCTGAAATTTCTTCTGTATACGTTTTATGTGAAGATATTTCCTTTTCCACCATTGGCCACAAAGCACTCCTAATGTCCATTTGCAGATTCAACCAAAAGAGATATTCAAAACTGCTCAATCAAAAGAAATTTTTATCTCTGTGAGATGAACACACACGTCACAAAGAAGTTTCTGATTGCTTCTGTCTATATTTTATGTGAAGATATTTCCTTTTCTACCATAGGCCGCAAAGCTCTCCAAATGTCCACTGGCAGATTCTACAAAAAGAGTGTTTCCAAACTGCTCAACCAAAAGAAAGTTTCAACTCTGAGATGAACGCTCACATTACAAAGGCGTTTCTCAGTATTCTTCTGCCTGGTTTTTATGTGAAGATATTTCCTTTTCCACAATAGGCTTCTAAGCACTCCAAATGTCCACTTGCATATTCTACAAAAAGAGAGTTTCAAAACTTCTCAATCAAAAGAAAGCTTTACCTCTTTGAGATGAATGCTCACATCACAAAGAAGTTTCTCAGATTGCTTCTGTCTAGATTTTATTTGAAGATATTTCCTTTTCTGCCATAGGCCACAAAGTTCTCCAAACGTCCACTTGCAGATTCTACAAAAAGAGTGTTTCCTTACTGCTCAATCTAAAGAAAATTACAACATTGTGAAATGAACACACACATCACAAAGAAGTTTCTCCGAATTCTACTGTCTAGTTTTTATGTGAAGATATTTCCTTTTCCACCATTGGCCACAAAGCACTCCTAATGTCCATTTGCAGATTCAACCAAAAGAGATATTCAAAACTTCTCAATCAAAAGAAATTTTTATCTCTGTGAGATGAATACACCCATCACAAAGAAGTTCCTCAGATTGCTTCTGTCTAGATTTTATGTGAAGATATTTCCTTTTCTACCATAGGCCGCATAGCGCTCCGTATGTCTACTTGCAGATTCTACAAAAAGAGGGTTTCCAAACTGCTCAATCAAAAGTATGGTTCAACTCTATGAGATGAACGCACACATCACAAAGAAGTTTCTCAGAATTCTTCTATCTAGTTTTTATGGGAAGATATTTCCTTTTCCACCATAGGCCACCTAGTGCTCCAAATGTCTACTTGCAGATTCTACAAAAAGAGAGTTTCAAAACTGCTCAATCAAAAGAAAATTTTAACTGTGTGACATGAATGCACACATCACAAAGTAGTTTCTCAGATTGCTTCTGTCTGGAATTTATGTGAACATATTACCTTTTCTACAATAGGCCGCAAAGTGCTCCAAATGTCCACATGCAGATTCTACAAAAAGAGTGATTCCAAACTGCTCAATCAAAAGAAAGTTTCAAATCTGTGAGATGAACGCAGATATCACAAAGAAGTTTCTCAGAATTCTTCTGTCTGGTTTTTATGTGAAGATATTACCTTTTCCACCATGGGCCTGAAAGCACTTCCAATGTACACTTGCAGATTCCACAAAAGGGAGTTTCTAAACTGCTCAATCAAAGGGAAGTTTTAACTGTGTGAGATGAATGCACACATCACAAAGAAGTTTCTGAGACTGCTTCTGTCTAGGTTTCATGTGAAAATAGTTCCTTTTGTACCATAGGCCACAGAGCTCTCCAAATGTGCACTTGAAGATTCTACATTAAGAGTGTTTCCAAACTGCTCCATCAAAAGAGAGGTTCAACTCTGTGAAATGAACACACACATCACAAACAAGTTTGTCGGAATTCTTCAGTCTAGTTTTTATGTTGAAGATATTACCTTTTCCACCATAGGCCTCAAAGCGCTCCAATGTACACTTGCAGGTTCTACAAAAAGAGAGTTTCAAAACTGCTTTATCAAAAGAAAGGTTTAACTGTGTGATGTGAATGCATATATTACAAAGAAGTTTCTCAGATTTCTTGTGTCTAAATTTTATGTGAAGATATTTCCTTTTCTACCATTGGCCACAAAGTGCTCCAAATGTCCACTTGCAGAAGAAACACAAAAAGAGTGTTTCCTAACTGCTCAATCAAAAGAAAGGTTGAACTCGGTGAGGTGAACGCACACATCACAACAAAGTTTCTCAGAATTTTTCTGTCTAGTTTTTTTTTTTTTAAAGAGCAGTTTGGGTTTCTTTCTTTTTTTATGTTCATAGAATTATTTATTTATTTATTTATTTATTTATTCATTATTATACTTTAAGTTTTAGGGTACATGTACACAATGTTCAGGTTAGCTACATATGTATACATGTGACATGCTGGTTCGCTGCACCAACTAAGTCATCATCTAGCATTAGGTATATATCCCAATTCTATCCCTCCCCCCTCCTCACAACAGTCCCCAGAGTGTGATGTTCCCCTTCCTGTGTCCATGTGTTCTCATTGTTCAATTCCCACCTGTAACTGAGAATATGCGGTGTTTGGTTTTTTGTTCTTGTGATAGTTCACTGAGAATGATGATTTCCAATTTCATCCATGTCCCTACAAAGGACATGAACTCATCATTTTTTATGGCTGCATAGTATTCCATGGTGTATATGTGCCATATTTTCTTAATCCAGTCTATCATTGTTGGACATTTGGGTTGGTTCCAAGTCTTTGCTCTTGTGAATAATGCCACAATAAACATACATCTGCATGTGTCTTTATAGCAGCATTATTTATAGTCCTTTGGGTACATACCCAGTAATGGGATGGCTGGGTGAAATGGTATTTCTAGTTCTAAATCCCTGAGGAATCGCCACACTGACTTCCAAAATGGTCGAACTAGTTTACAGTCCCACCAACAGTGTAAAAGTGTTCCTATTTCTCCACATCCTCTCCAGCACCTGTTGTTTCCTGACTTTTTGATGATTGCCATTATAACTGGTGTGAAACTTTATCTCATTGTGGTTTTGATTTGCATTTCTCTGATGGCCAGTGATGGTGAGCATTTCTTCATGTGTTTTTTGGCTGCATAAATGTCTTCTTTTGAGAAGTGTCTGTTCATGTCCTTTGCCAACTTTTTGATGGGGTTGTTTTTTTTTTTTTCTTGTAAATTTGTTTGAGTTCTTTGTAGATTCTGGATATTAGCCCTTTGTCAGATGAGTAGGTTGTGAAAATTTTCTCCCATTTTGTAGGTTGCCTGTTCACTTTGATGGTAGTTTCTTTTGCTGTGCAGAAGCTCTTTAGTTTAATTAGATCCCATTTGTCAATTTTGGCTTTTGTTGCCACTGCTTTTGGTGTTTTAGACATGAAGTCCTTGCCCATGCCTATGTCCTGAATGGTAATGCTTAGGTTTTCTTCTAGGGTTTTTATGGTTTTAGGTCTAACATTTAAGTCTTTAATCCATCTTGAATTGATTTTTGTATAAGGTGTAAGGAAGGGATCCAGTTTCAGCTTTCTACATATGGCTAGCCAGTTTTCCCAGCACTATTTATTAAATAGGGAATCCTTTCCCCATTGCTTGTTTTTCTCAGGTTTGTCAAAGATCAGATAATTGTAGATATGTGGCATTATTTCTGAGGGCTCTGTTCTGTTCCATTGATTTATATCTCTGTTTTGGTACCAGTACCATGCTGTTTTGGTTACTGTAGCCTTGTAGTATAGTTTGAAGTCAGGTAGTGTGATGCCTCCAGCTTTGTTCTTTTGGCTCAGGATTGACTTGGTGATGCAGGCTCTTTTTTGTTTCCATATGAAGTTTAAAGTAGTTTTTTCCAATTCTGTGAAGAAAGGCATTGGTAGCTTGATGGGGATGGCATTGAATCTGTAAATTATGTAGGGCAGTATGGCAATTCTCACGATATTGATTCTTCCTACCCATGAGCATGGAATATTCTTCCATTTGTTTGTATCCTCTTTTATTTCCTTGAGCAGCGGTTTGTAGTTCTCCTTGAAGAGGTCCTTCACATCCCTTGTAAGTTGGATTCCTAGCTATTTTATTCTCTTTGAAGCAATTGTGAATGGTAGTTCACTCATGATTTGGCTCTCTGTTTGTCTGTTGTTGGTGTATAAGAATGCTTGTGATTTTTGCACATTGATTTTGTATCCTGAGACTTTGCTGAAGTTGCTTATCAGCTTAAGGAGATTTTGGGCTGAGACAATGGGTTTTCTAGATATACAATCAAGTCATCTGCAAACAGGGACAATTCGACTTCCTTTTTTCCTAATTGAACACCCTTTATTTCCTTCTCCTGCTTAATTGCCCTGGCCAGAACTTCCAACACTATGTTGAATAGGAGTGGTGAGAGAGGGCATCCCTGTCTTGTGCCAGTTTTCAAAGTGAATGCTTCCAGTTTTTGCCCATTCAGTATGATACTGGCTGTGGGTTTGACATAGATAGCTCTTATTATTTTGAAATATGTCCCATCAATACTTAATTTATTGAGAGTTTTTAGCATGAAAGGTTGTTGAATTTTGTCAAAGGCCTTTTCTGCATCTATTGAGATAATCATGTGGTTTTCACACATAGGCTCAAAATAAAAGAATGGAGGAAGATCTACCAAGCAAATGGAAAACAAAAAAAAGGCAGGGGTTGCAATCCTAGTCTCTGATAAAACAGACTTTAAACCAACAAAGATCAAAAGAGACAAAGAAGGCCATTACATAATGGTAAAGGGATCAATTCAACAAGAAGAGCTAACTATCCTAAATATATATGCACCCAATACAGGATCACCCAGATTCATAAAGCAAGTCCTGACTGATCTACAAAGAGACTTATACACCCACACATTAATAATGGGAGGCTTCAACACCCCACTGTCAACATTAGACAGATCAACGAGACAGAAAGTCAACAAGGATACCCAGGAATTGAACTCAGCTCGGCACCAAGTGGACCTAACAGACATCTACAGAACTCTCCACCCCAAATCAACAGAATATACATTTTTTTCAACACCACACCACACTTATTCCAAAATTGACCACATACTTGGAAGTAAAGCTCTCCTCAGCAAATGTAAAAGAACAGAAATTATAACAAACTATCTCTCAGACCACAGTGCAATCAAACTAGAACTCAGGGTTAAGAATCTCACTCAAAACCGCTCAACTACATGGAAACTGAACAACCTGCTCCTGAATGACTACTGGGTACATAATGAAATGAAGGCAGAAATAAAGATGTTCTTTGAAACCAACGAGAAAAAAGACGCAACATACCATAATCTCTGGGATGCATTCAAAGCAGTGTGTAGAGGGAAATTTATAGCACTGAATGCCCACAAGAGAAAGCAGGAAAGATCCAAAATTGACACCCTAACATCACAATTAAAAGAACTAGAAAAGCAAGAGCAAACACATTCAAAAGCTAGCAGAAGGCAAGAAATAACTAAAATCAGAGCAGAACTGAAGGAAATAGAGACACAAAAAACCCTTCAAAAAATTAATGAATCCAGGAGCTGTTTTTTGAATGGATCAACAAAATTGATAGACAGCTAGCAAGACTAATAAAGAAAAAAAGAGAGAAGAATTAAATAGACGCAATAAAAAATGATAAAGGGGATATCACCACCAATCCCACAGAAATACAAACTACCATCAGAGAATACTACAAACACCTCTACACAAATAAACTAGAAAATCTAGAAGAAATGGATAAATTCCTCGACACATACACTCTCCCAAGACTAAACCAGGAAGAAGTTGAATCTCTGAATAGACCAATAACAGGATCTGAAATTGTGGCAATAATCAATAGCTTACCAACCAAAAAGAGTCCAGGACCAGATGGATTCACAGCCGAATTCTACCAGAGGTACAAGGAGGAACTGGTACCATTACATCTGAAACTATTCCAATCATTAGAAAAAGAGGGAATCCTCCCTAACTCATTTTATGAGGCCAGCATCATTCTTGATACCAAAGCCGGGCAGAGACACAACCAAAAAAGAGAATTTCAGACCAATATCCTTGATGAACATTGATGCAAAAATCCTCAATAAAATACTGGCAAACCGAATCCAGCAGCACATGAAAAAGCTGATCCACCATGATCAAGTGGGCTTCATCCCTGGGATTCAAGGCTGGTTCAATATGTGCAAATCAATAAATGTAATCCAGCATATAAACAGAGCCAAAGATAGAATCACTTTTTGTATAATCTGGAAGTGGATATTTGGAGCGTTTTGTATCCTATGGTGGGAAAGGAAATATCTTTCCATAAATGCTACACAGAAGTATTCTGAGGAACTATTTTTTGATGTGTGCATTCAACTCATAGAGCTGAACCTATCTTTTGATAGAGCAGTTTTGAAAATCTCTTTTTGTAGAATCAGCAAGTGGATATTTGAAAACCTTTGCAGCCTATGGTGGAAAACTAAATATCTTCTTACAAAAACTGCACAAAAGCATTCTGAGAAAATTCTTTGTGATGTATGCATTCATCTCACGGAGTTGAACCTCTCTTTCAATTGAGAAGTTTGGAAACACTCTTTTTGTAGAATCTGCAAATGGATATATGGAGAGCTTGAGGCATATGGTGGAAAAGGAAATAACTTCCCATGAAAACTACACAGAAGCATTCTGAGAAACTTCTTTGTGAGGTGTGCATTCAACTCATCGATTTGAAACTTTCTTTCAATTTAGCAGTTTGGAAACACTCTTTTTGTAGAATCTGCAAGTAGTTATTTGGATCGATTTGGAGCCTATGTGGGAAAGGAAATATCTTCACTTAAAAACTATACAGAAGTATTCTGAGAAACTTCTTTGTGATGTGTGCATTCACCTCACAGAGTTGAGACTATCCTTTGATAGAGCAGTTTTGAAACTCTCTTTTTGTAGGATCTGCAAGTGGATATTTGGAGTCTTTTGTGTCCTACGTAGGAAAAGCAAATATCTTCACATAAAAACTACACAGAATCATTCTGAGAAACTTCTTTGTGATGTGTGCATTCAACTCACAGAGATGAACTTTTCTTTTGATAGAGCAGTTTTCAAACTCTCTCTTTATAGAATCTGCAAGTGGATACTCGGAGCTCTTTGCAGCCTAGGTAGGAAAAGGAAATATCTTGACATCAAAACTACACAGAAGCATTCTGAGAAACTTCTTTGTGATGTGTGCATTCAACTCAGAGTTGAACTTATCTTTTGACAGAGCAGTTTTAAAACTCTCCTTTTGTAGAATCTGGAAGTGGATATTTGGAGGGCTTTGAGGCCTGTGGTGGAAAAGGAAATATCTTCACATAAAAACTACACAGAAGCATTCTGAGAAAGTTCTTTGTTATGAGTGCATACGTCTCACAGTGTTGAAGCTATCTTTTCATATAGCAGTTTTGAAAATTTCTTTTTGTAGAATCTGCAAGTGGATATTTGGAGTCCTTTGCAGCCTACAGTGGAAAACGAAATATCTTCACATAAAAACTACACAGAAGCATTCTGAGAAACTTCTTTGTGATGTGTCCACTCATCTCACAGAGTTGAACCTTTCATTTGATAGAGCGGTTTTGAAACACTCTTTTTGTAAAAACTACACAGAAGCATTCTGAGAAACTTCTTTGTGATGTGTGCGTTCATCTCACAGAGATGAACCTATCTTTTGATAGAGCAGTTTTGAAACTCTTTCTGTAGAATCTGCAAATGGATATTTGGAGCCCTTAGCGGCCTATGGTGGAAAAGGAATTATCTTCACATAAAAACTACACAGTATCATTCTGAGAAACTTGTTTGTGATGTGTGCATTCATCTCACAAATTTGAACCCTTTCGTCTTTTGAGCAGTTTGTACACCCTCTTTTTGTAAAATCTACAAGTGGATATATGGAGCGCTTTGAGTCCTATTGTGGAAAAGGAAATATCTTCACATAAAAACTACACAGAAGAATTCTGAGAAACTTCTTTGTGATGTGTGCCTTCATTTCACAGAGATAAACCGTTCATTTGATTGAGCAGTTTTGAAACTCTTTTTGTAGAATCTGCAAGTGGATATTTGGAGCCCTTTGCAGCCTACGGTGGAAACGGAAATATCTTCACATAAAAACTACACAGAAGCATTCTGAGACACTTCTTTGTGATGTGTGCATTCATCTCACAGAGTTGAAACTATCTTTTGATAGAGCAGTTTTGAAACTCTTCTTTTGTAGAATCTGCGAGTGGATATTTGGAGCCCTTTGCAGCCTTTTGGGCAAAAGGAAATATCTTCTAATTAAAACTACACAGAAGCATTCTGAGAAACTTCTTTGTCATGTGAACATTCAACTCAAAATGCTGAACCTATCTTTTGAGACAGCAGTTTTGAAACACTCTTTGTAAGGCATCTGCAAGTGGATATTTGAAGTGCTTTGAGGCCTATTGTGGAAAAGGAAATATTTTCACATAAAAACTACAGAGAACCACTCTGAGAAACTTCTTTGTGATGTTTGCATTCATATCACACAGTTGAACCTCTCCTTTGATTGAGCAGTTTTGAAACAGTCTTTTTGTAGAACCTGCGGGTGGTTATTTGGAGCACTTTGAGGACTATTATGGAAAAGGAATTATCTCCACAAAAAAATTACACAGACATATTGTGAGAAATTTCTTGTGATGTGTGCATTCGTCTCACAGAGTTGACCCTTTCTTTTGATTTAGCAGTTTTGAAACACTCTTTTTGTAGAGTATGAAAATGGATACTTTGAGCACTTTTAGGCCTAAGGTAGAAAAGGAAATATCTTCACATAAAAACTACACAGAAGCATTCTGAGAAAGTACTTTGTGATGTGTGTATTCAACTCACAGAGGTGAACCTATCTTTTGATAGAGCAGTTTTGAAACTCTCTTTTTGTAGAATCTGCAAGTGGATATTTGGGTCCCTTTGTGGTCTATCGTGGAAAGGAAATATCTTCACATAAAAACAACACAGAAGTATTCTGAGAAACGTCTTTGTGATGTGTGCATTCATCTCACAGAATTGAACCTTTCATTTGATTGCACAGTTTTGAAACACTCTTTTTGTAGAAGCTGCAAGTGGATATTTGAATCGCTTTGAGGTCTATGTTGGAAAATGAACGCTCTTCACATAAAAATTTCACAGAAGCATTCTGAGAAACTTCTTTTTGATGTGTGCATTCAACTGTCAAATTGAACCTATCTTTTGATAGAGCAGTTTTGAACCTCTCTTTTTGTAGCATCTGCATGTGGATATTTGGAGCCATTTGCAGCCTAAGGTGGAAAAGGTAATATCTTCACATAAAAACTACAGAGAAGCATGGTACTGATACCAAAACAGAGGTATAGAAAAATGGAACAGAATAGGACCCTCAAAAATAATGCCACATATCTATAACTATCTGCTCTTTGATAAATCTGAGAAAAACAAGAAATAGGGACAGGATTTCCTATTCAACTAATGGTGTTGGGAAAACTGGCTAGCCATATGTGGAAAGCTGAAACTGGATCTCTTCCTCACACCTTATACAAAAATTAATTCAAGATGGATTAAAGCTTTAAACATTAGACATAAAACCATAAAAACCATAGAAGAAAATGTAGGCATTACCATTCTGGACATATGCATGGCCAAAGACTTCATGTCTAAAACATCAAAAGCAATGGCAACAAAAGCCAAAATTGACAAATGGGATATAATTAAACTAAAGAGCTTCTGCACAGCAAAATAAACTACCAGCAGAATGAACAGGCAACCTACAAAATGGAGAAAATTTTGGCAACTTACTCATCTGACAAAGGGATAATATTCAGAATCTACAATGAACTCAAACAAATTTAGAAGAAAAAATAAATAACCCTATCAAAAAGTGGGCGAAGGACATGAACAGACACTTCTCAAAAGAAGACATTCATGCAGCCAAAAAACACATGAAAAAATGCTCACCATCACTGGCTATCAGAGAAATGCAAATCAAAACCACAATGAGATACCATCTCACACCAGTTAGAATGGCAATCATTAAAATGTCAGGAAACAACAGGTGCTGGAGAGGATGTGGAGAAATAGGAATACTTTTATACTGTTGGTGGGAATGTAAACTAGTTCAACCATTGTGGAAGTCAGTGTGGCGATTCCTCAAGGATCTAGAACAAGAAATACCATTTGACCCAGCCATCCCATTACTGGGCATATACCCAAAGGACTATAAATCATCCTGCTATAAAGACACATGCACACGTATGTTTATTGCGGCACTATGCACAATAGGAAAGACTTGGAACCAACCCAAATGTCCAACAATGATAGACTGGATTAAGAAAATGTGACACATATACACCGTGGAATACTATGCAGCCATAAAAAATGACGAGTTCATGTCCTTTGTAGGAACATGGATGAAATTGGAAATCATCATCCTCAGTAAACTATCGCAAGAATAAAAAACCAAACACAGCATATTCTCACTTATAGGAGGGAATTGAACAATGAGAACACATGGACACAGGAAGGGGAACATTACACTCTGGGGACTGTTGTGGGGTGGGGAGAGAGGTGAGCGATAACTTTAGGAGATAAACCTAATGCTAAGTGACGAGTTAATGGATGCAGGACACCAACATGGCACATGTATACATATGTAACTAACCTGCAATTTGGGGAAATGTACCCTAAAATTTAAAGTATAATAATAATAAAATGAATAAAACTACACAGAAGCATTCTGAGAAATTTCTTTGTGATGTGTGGATTCATCTCACAGAGTTGAAACTTTCATTTGAATGAGCAGTTTTGAAACAATCTTTTTGCACAATCTGCAAGTGGATATTAGGAGCACTTTGAGGCCTATGGTGGAAAAGGAAACATCTTCACATAAAAACTACACAGAAGCATTCTGAAAAACTTCTTTGTGATGTGTGCATTCAACTCTTACAGTTGAACCTATCTTTTGATAGAGCAGCTTTGAAACTCACTTTTGTAGAATCTGCATGTGGATAGTTGCAATGCTTTGAGGCCTATGTTGGAAAAGGAAATATCTTCACCTAACAACTGCACAGAAGCATTCTGAGAATCTCCGTTATGATATGTGCATTCATCTCACAGAGTTGAAACTTTGTTTTCATTGAGCAGTTCGGAAACACTCTTTTTGCAGAATCTGCAAGTGGATATTTGGAGTGCTTTGAGGCCTATTATGGAAAAGGAAATGTTTTCACATAAATCTACACAGAAGCATTCTGAGAAACTTCTTTGTGATGTGTGCATTCTTCTCACAGAGTTGAAGCTTTCTTTGGATTTAGCAGTTTTGAAACACTCTTTTTGTAGAATCTGCAGGTTGATATTTGGAGTGCTTTGAGGCCTATGGTGGAAAAGGGAATATCTTCACACAAAAACTTCACAGAAGCATTCTGAGAAAGTTGTTTGTGATGTGTGCATTCATCTCACAAAGTTGAACTTTTCTTTTGATTGAGCCGTTTGGAAACTCTCTTTTTGTTGAATCTGCAGGTGGATATTTGGAGCGCTTTGAAGCCTATGGTGGACAAGGAAACATCTTCATATAAAAACTCTACAGAAGCATTCTGAGAAACTTCTTTGTGGTGTGTGCATTCAACTCACAGAGTTGAACTTAACTTTTGACAGAGCAGTTTTGAAACTCTCTTTATGTAGAATCTCCAAGTGCATATTTGGAGCCCTTTGTTGCCTATGGTGGAAAAGGAAATATCTTCACCTAAAAGCTACACAGAAGCATTCTGATAAACTTCTTTCTGATGTGTGCATTCAACCAACAATGTTGAAAGTATCTGTTGATTGAGCAGATTAGAATCTCTCTTTTTGTAGAATCTGCAAGTGAATATTTGGAGCCCTATTTCGCCCTATAGTGGAAAAGGAAATATCTTCAAATAGAAGCTACACAGAAGCATTCAGAGAAACTTCTTTCTGATGAGAGCATTCATCACAGAGTTGAACCTTTGTTTTGATTTAGCAGTTTTGAGACAATCTTTCCGTAGAATCTGCAAGTAAATATTTGGAGGGCTTTGAGTTCTGTTTTGGAGAAGGAGATATCTTCATATAAAAACTATACAGAAGCATTCTGAGAAACACCTTTGTGAGTTGTGCACGGAAGTCACGTTGTTGAACGTATCTTTTGATTCAGCAGTTTTGAATCTCTCTTTTTACAGAATCTGAGAGTGGATATTTGGAGGGCTTTGAGGCGTACTGTTGAAAATGAAATATCTTCACACAAAAACTACACAGAAGCATTCGGCAAAACTTCTTTGTGATGTGTGCATTCATCTCACAGAGTTGAATGTCTTTGTTGATTGAGCAGTTTTGAAACACTCTTTTTGTAGAATCCACAAGTAGTTACTTGGAGCGATTTGGGGCCTATTGTGGGAAAAGAAATATCTTCACATGAAAACTACACTGAAGCATTCTGAGAACTTTCTTTGTGATGTGTGCATTCATCTCACAGAGTTGAACCTATCTTTTGACAGAGCAGTTTTGAAACTCTCTTTTTGTGGAATCTGCAAGTAGATATTTGGAGGGCTTTGAGGCCTGTTGTGGAAAAGGAGATATCTTCACATAAATGCTACACGTAAGCATTCTGAGAAACTTCTTTGTGATGTGTGCATTCAACTCACAGAGTTGAACTTATCTTTTGATAGAACAGTTTTAAAACTCTCCTTTTGTAGAATCTGGAAGTGGATATTTGGAGGGCTTTGAGGCCTGCTGTGGAAAAGGAAATATCTTCACATAAAAACTACACAAAAGCATTCTGAGAAACTTCTTTGTGATGTGTGCACACGTCTCACAGAGTTGATCCTATCTTTTCACATAGCAGTTTTGAATATGTCTTTTTGTAGAATCTGCAAGTGGATATTTGGAGCCCTTTGCAGCCTATGGTGGAAAAGGATATATCCTCACATAAAAACTACACAGAAGCGTTCTGAGAAACTTCTTTGTGATGTGTACATTCAATTTACAGAGTTGAACCTATCTTTTGATTGAGCAGTTTTGAATCTCTCTTTTTGTAGAATCTGCAAGTGGGTATTCAGAGCGCATTGAGGCCTATGATGGAAAAAAAATCTTCACATAAAACTACACAGAAGAATTCTGAGAAACATCTTTGTGATGTGTGCATTCATCTCACAGGGTTGAACCTATCTTATGATTGAGCAGTTTAGAAAAACTCTTTTTGTAGAATATGCAAGTGGATATTTGGAGCATATTGGGGCCTACCATGGAAAAGAAATTATCTTCACATAAAAACTACACAGAAGCATTCTGAGAAACTGCTTTGTGATGTGTGCATTCATCTCACAGAGTTGAACATTTCTTTTGATTGAGCAGTTTTGAAACACTATTTTTGCAGAATCTGCAAGTGGATATTTGGAGCGCTTTGAGGCCTACAGTGGAAAAGCAAATATCTTCACATAACCACTACACAGAAACATTCTTAGAAACTCCTTTGTGATGTGTGCATTCATCTGACAGAGTTGAAACTTTCTTTTGATTGAGCAGTTTTGAAACACTCTTTGTTTAGAATCTGTAAGTCTATATCTGGAGCGATTTGATGCCTACAGTGGATAACGTACTATCTTCACATAAAATCTACACAAAAGCATTCTGAGAAACTACTTTGTGATGTGTGCATTCAACTCACACAGTTGAACCTATCTTTTGATTGAGCAGTTTTGAATCTCTCTTTTTTTAGAATGTGCAAGTGGATATTTGGAGTCTTTTGTGCCCTATGGTGGAAAAGGAAATATCTTCAAATAAAAACTGCACAGAATCATTCAGAGAAACTTCTTTGTGACGAGTGCATTCATCAAACAGAGTGAAACCTTTCATTGATTCAGCAGTTTTGAAACACTCTTTTTGTAGAATCTGGAAGTAGATATTTGGAGGGATTTGAGGTCTATTTTTGAAAAGAAAATATCTTCACCTAAAAACTATACAGAAGTATTCTGAGAATGTGCTTTGTCATGTGTGCGTTTAACTCACAGAGTTGGAACTATGTTTCAATTGAGCAGTTTTGAACCTCTCTTTTTGCAGAATCTGCAAGTGGATATTTGGAGCCGTTTGAGGCCTACTGTGGAAAAGCAAATATCTTCACATAAACACTCCATGGAAGCATTCTTAGAAACTTCTGTGTGATGTGTGCATTCAACTCACAGAGTTGAACTTATCTTTTGATTGAGCAGTTTTGAATCTCTCTTTTTGTAGACTCTGAAACTAGATATTTGGAGACCTTTTTGGCCTATGGTGGAAAAGGAAATATCCTTAACTAAAAACTACAAAGAAGCATTCTGAGAAACATCTTTTTGATGTGTGCATTCACCTCACAGGGTTGAACCTATCTTATGATTGAGCAGTTTTAAAACACTCTTTGAATAATCGGCTAGTGGATATTTGGAGCGCTTTGAGGCCTACCATGGAAAAGCAAATATTTTCAGATAAAAACCACACAGAAGCATTCTGAGAAACTTCTTGGTGATGTGTGCATTCAACTCACAGAGTTGAACCTTTCCTTGGATTGAGAAGGTTTTAAGCATTATTTGTAGAATCTGGAAGTGGATATTTGGAGGGCTTTGAGGCCTATTTTGGAGAAAGAGATATCTTCACATAAAAACTACACAGAAGAATTATGAGAAACTTCTTTGTGAGGTGTGCATTCAACTCAAAGAGTTGGACCTATCTTTTGATTGAGCAGTTTTGAACCTCTCTTTGTGCAGAATCTGTGAGTGGATATTTGAAGTGCTTTGAGGCGTATTGTGGAAAAGAAAATATCTTCAAATAAACACTACACAGAAGAATTCTGAGAAACTTCTTTGTTTTGTTTGCATTCAACTCAAGGAGTCGAACCAATCTTTTGATTGAGCAGTTTTGAATCTCTCTTTTTACAGAACCTGCGAGTGGATATTTGGAGAGATTTGAGGCCTATTGTGGAAAAGAAAATATCTTCAAATAAAAACTACACAGAAGCATTCTGAGAAACTTCTTTGTGATGCGTGCATTCAACTCACAGAGTTGAACATATCTTTTGATGGAGCTGTTTTGAAGCTCTCTTTTTGTATAATCTGCAAGTGGATATTTGGAACCATTTGAGGCCTACGGTGGAAAAGGATATATATTCACATAAAAACTATACAGAAGCATTCTGAACACTTCTTTGTGATGTGTGCATTCAACTGACAGTGTTGAACCTCTCTTTTGATTGAGCAGTTTAGAATCCCTATTTTTGTGGAATCTGCAAGTGGATATTTGGAGCCCTGTGAGACCTATGGTGGAAAAGGAAATATCTTTTAATAAAAAATACACAAAAGATTCAGAGAAACTTCTTTGTTATGAATGCATTCATCACACAGAGTTGAAAATTTCTTTGGGTAGAGCAGTTTTGAAACACTCTTTTCGTAGAATCTGGAAGTGGATATTTGGAGGGCTTTGAGGCCTATTTTGGAGAAGGAGATATCTTCACACAAAAACTACAAAGAAGCATTCTGAGAAACTTCTTTGAAAGGTGTGCATTCAACTCACAGAGCTGAACCTATCTTTTGACTGAGCAGTTATTAATCTCTCTTTTTACAGAATCTGAGAGTGGATATTTGGAGCGCTTTGAGGCGTACTGTGGAAAATGAAATATCTTCACACAAAAACTACACAGAAGCATTCTGAGAAACTTCTTTGTGATGTGTGCATTCATCTCACAGAGTTGAATGTCTCTGTTGATTGAGCAGTTTTGAAACACTCTTTTTGTGGAATCTGCAAGTGGATATTTGGAGCTCATTGGGGCCTACTGTGGAAAATCAAATATCTTCACATAAAAACTACACAGAAGCATTCTGAAAAACTTCTTTGTGATCTGTGCATTCATCTCACAGAGTTGGATGTTTCTATTGATATAGCAGTTTTGAAACACTCTTTTTTAGAATCTGTAAATGGATATTTGGAGCCTTTTCAGGCCTACAGTGTAGAAGGAAATATCTTCACATAAAAACTATGCAGAAGCATTCTGAGAAACTACTTTGTGATGCGTGCATTCATCTCACAGGGTACAACCTTTCTTTGGATTGAGCAGTTTTGAAACACTCTTTTTGTAGAATCTGCAAGTGGATATTTAGAGTGATTTGAGGCCTATTGTGGAAAGGGAAATTTCTTCAACTAAAAACTACCCAGAAGCATTCTGTGAAACTTATTTGCGATGTGTGCATTCAACTCACATTGTTGAAGGTATCTGTTGATTGAGTAGTTTAGAATCTCTCTTTTTGTAGAATCTGCAAGTGAATATTTGGGGCCCTATTTTGCCCTATATTGGAAAAGGAAATATCTTCAAATAGAAACTACACAGAAGCATTCAGAGAACCTTCTTTCTGATGAGTGCATTCATCACAGAGTTGAACCTTTGTTTTGATTTAGCAGTTTTGACACAATCTTTCCGTACAATCTGGAAGTGAATATTTGGAGGGCTTTGAGATCTGTTTTGGAGGAGGAGATATCTTCATATAAAAACTACACAGAAGATTTCTGAGGAACATCTTTGTGAATTGTGCACCTAAGTCACAGTGTTGAACCTATCTTTTGATTCAGCAGTTTTGAATCTCTCTTTTTACAGAATCTGAGAGTGGATATTTGGAGCGCTTTGAGGCGTACTGTTGAAAATGAAATATCTTCACACAAAAACTACACAGAAGCATTCGGCAAAACTTGTTTGTGATGTGTGCATTCATCTCACAGAGTTGAATGTCTCTGTTGATTGAGCAGTTTTGAAACACTCTTTTTGTAGAATCTGCAAGTGGATATTTGGAGCTCATTGGGGCCTACAGTGGAAAAACAAATAACTTCTCATAAAAACTACACAGAAGCATTCTGAGAAACTTCTTTGTGATCTGTGCATTCATCTCACAGAGTTGGATGTTTCTATTGATACAGCAGTTTTGAAACACTCTTTTTTTAGAATCTGTAAAAGGATATTTGGAGTCATTTCAGGCCTACAGTGTAGAAGGAAATATCTTCACATAAAAACTACACAGAAGCATTCTGAGAAACTTCTTTGTGATGGGTGCATTCATCTCACAGAGTTGAATGTCTCTGTTGATTGAGCAGTTTTGAAACACTCTTTTTGTAGAATCTGCAAGTGGATATTTGGAGCTCATTGGGGACTACTGTGGAAAAACAAATATCTTCACATAAAAACTACACAGAAGCATTCTGAGGAACTTCTTTGTTATCTGTGCATTCATCTCACAGTGTTGAATCATTCTTTTGATACAGAAGTTTAGAAGCACTCTTTTTTTAGATTCCGCAAGTGGATATTTGGAGCCTTTTGAGGCCTATAGTGGAGAAGGAAATATCTTCACATAAAAACTATGCAGAAGCATTCTGAGAAACTACTTTATGATGTGTTCATTCATCTCACAGAGTAGAACCTTTCTTTGGATTGAGCTGTTTTGAAACAGTCTTTTTTTCGAATCTGCAAGTGGATATTTGGAGCCTTTTGAGACCTGTAGTGGAGAAGGAAATATCTTCACATAAAAACTATGCAGAAGCATTCTGAGAAACCACTTTGTGATGCGTGCATTCATCTCACAGAGTAGAAGCTTTCTTTTGATTGAGCAGTTTTGAAACACTCTTTTTGTAGAATCTGCAAGAATATATTTAGAGCGATTTGAGGCCTATTGTGGAAAGGGAAATTTCTTCAAATAAAAACTACCCAGAAGCATTCTGTGAAACTTATTTGTGATGTGTGCATTCAACTCAAATTGTTGAACGTATCTGTTGATTGAGCAGTTTAGAATCTCTCTTTTTGTAGAATCTGCAAGTGAATATTTGGAGCCCTATTTCGCCCTATAGTGGAAAAGGAAATATCTTCAAATAGAAACTACACAGAAGCATTCAGAGAACCTTCTTTCTGATGAGTGCATTCATCACAGAGTTGAACCTTTGTTTTGATTTAGCAGTTTTGACACAATCTTTCCGTACAATCTGGAAGTGAATATTTGGAGGGCTTTGAGTTCTGTTTTGGAGAAGGAGATATCTTCATATAAAAACTACACAGAAGATTTCTGAGAAACACCTTTGTGAGTTGTGCACTGAAGTCACAGTGTTGAACCTATCTTTTGATTCAGCAGTTTTGAATCTCTCTTTTTACAGAACCTGCGAGTGGATATTTGGAGCGCTTTGAGGCGTACTGTGGAAAATGAAATATCTTCACACAAAAACTACACAGAAGCATTCTGAGAAACTTCTTTGTGATGGGTGCATTCATCTCACAGAGTTGAATGTCTCTGTTGATTGAGCAGTTTTGAAACACTCTTTTTGTGGAATCTGCAAGTGGATATTTGGAGCTCATTGGGGCCTACTGTGGAAAAACAAATATCTTCACATAAAAACTACACAGAAGCATTCTGAGAAACTTCTTTGCGATCTGTGCATTCATCTCACAGAGTTGAATCTTTGTTTTGATACAGCAGTTTTGAAACACTCTTTTTTTAGAATCCGCAAGTGGATATTTGGAGCCTTTTGAGGCCTATAGTGGAGAAGGAAATATCTTCACATAAAAACTATGCAGAAGCATTCTGAGAAAGTACTTTGTGATGTGTGCATTCATCTCATACAGTAGAACCTTTCTTTGGATTGAGCAGTTTTGAAACACTCTTTTTTTAGAATCTGCAAGTGGATATTTAGAGCGTTTTGAGGCCTATTGTGGAAAGGGAAATTTCTTCACATAAAAACTACCCAGAAGCATTCTGTGAAACTTATTTGTGATGTGTGCATTCATCTCACATTGTTGAAGGTATCTGTTGATTGAGCAGTTTAGAATCTCTCTTTTTGTAGAATCTGCAAGTGGATATTTGGAGCCCCTTGCAACCTATGGTGGTAAAGGAAATACCTTCAAATAAAAACTACATAGAAGCATTCTGAAAAACTTCTTTGTTATGTGTGCATTCATCTCACAGGGTTGAACCTATCTAATGATTGAGCAGTTTTGAAACACTCATTTTGTAGAATCTGCAAGTGGATATTTGGAGCGCTTTGAGACCTTCCGTGGACAAGCTAATGTCTTCACATAAAAACTACACTGAAGCATTCTGAGAAACTACTTTGTGATGTGTGCATTCATCTCACAGTTTTAGACGTTTCTTTTGATTGAGCAGTTTTGGAATACTCTTTTTGTAGAATCTGCAAGTGGATATTTGGAGCCCTATGAGCCCTATGGTGGAAGAGGAAATATCTTCAAATACAAAATACACAGAAGCATTCAGAGAAACTTCTTTGTGATGAGTGCATTCATCACACAGTGTTGAACATTTCTTTGGATTGAGCAGTTTTGAAGCACTATTGTCATGGAATCTGGAAGTGCATATTTGGAGGTCATTGGGGCCTATTTTGGAGAAGGAGATATCTTCACATAAAAACTACACAGAAACTTTATGAGAAACTTCTTTGTGAGGTGTGCATTCAACTCACAGATTTGAACCTATCGTTTGATTGAGCAGTTTTGAATCTCTCTTATTTCAGAATCTGAAAGTGGATATTTGGAGCCCTTTGAGGCCTACTGTGGAAAATCAAATATATTCACCTAAAAACTACACAGAGGTATTCTGAGAAACTTCTTTGTTTTGTGTGCATTCAACTCACATATTTGAACTTATCTTTTGATTGTACAGTTTTGAATCTCCCTTTTTGCAGAATCTGCAAGTGGATATTTGGAGCCCTATTTTGCCCTATAGTGGAAAAGCAAATATCTTCACATAAACAAACACAACACAGAAGCATTCAGAGAAACTACTTTGTGATTTGTGCATTCAACACGCAGAGTTGAAACTATCTTTTGATTGAACAGCTTTGAATCTCTCTTTTTGTAGAATCTGCAAGTGGAAGTTTGGAGCCCTTTGTGGCCTATGGTGGAAAAGGAAATATCTTCAAATAAAAACTACACAAAAACATTCTGAGAAGCTACTTTGTGATGTGGGCATTCATCTCACAAGGTTGAACCTATCATATGATGAGCAGT
>NC_000020.11:28859997-28861347 GCF_000001405.40 Homo sapiens
TCACACATCACAAAGAAGTTTCTCAGAATTCTTCTGTCTAGTTTTTAGGTGAAGATGTTTCCTTTTCCACTATAGGCCTCAAAGTGCTCCAAATGTCCACTTGCAGATTATACAAAAAGAGAGTTAAAAAACCGCTCAAACAAATGAGAGGTTTAACTCTGTGAGATGAATTCACACATCACAAAGAAGTTTCTCAGATTGGTTCTGTCTACATTCTATGTGAAGATATTTCCTTTTCTAAGATAGGCAGCAAAGCGTTCCAAATGTCCACATGCAGATTCTACAAAAAGAGTGTTTCCAAACTGCTGAATCAAAAGAAAGGATCAACTCGGTGAGATGAACGCACGCATCAAAGCGAAGTTTCTCAGAATTCTTCTGTCTAGTTTTTATGTGAAGATAGTTCCTTTTCCACCATAGGCTTCAAAGCACTCCAAATGTCCACTTGCAGATTCTACAAAAAGAGTTTCAAAACTGTTCAATCAAAAGAAAGGTTTAACTCTGTGAGACGAATGCACACATTACAAAGTATTTTCTCAGATTGCTTCAGTCTAGATTTTATGTGAAGATATTTTCTCTTATAACATAGGCCGCAAAGCACACAAAATGTCCACTTGCAGATTCTACAAAAAGAGTATTTCCAAACTGCTCAATCAAAAGGAAGTTTCAACTCTGTGAGATGAATGCACACAACACAAAGAAGTTTCTCAGAATTCTTCTGTCTAGTTTTTATGTGAAGATATTTCCTTTCCCACTATAGGCCTCAAAGCACTCAAAATATCCAATTTCAGATTCTGCAAAAAGAGAGTTTCAAAATTCCTCAATCAAAAGAAAGGTTTAACTCTGTGAGATGAATGCACACATCACAAAGAAGTTTTTCAGAATTCTTCTGTCTAGTCTTTATGTGAAGATATTTTGTTTTCCACAATGTTCCTCAAAGCCCTCCAAATGTCCACTTGCAGATTCTATGAAAGGAGAGTTTTGAAACTCCTCAATCAAAAGAAGGTTTCACTCTTTGAGGTGAATGAACACTTCCCTAAGAAGTTTCTCAGATTGCTTCTGTCTAGATTTTATGTGAAGGTATTTCCTTTTCTAACGTAGGCCGGAAGGTGTTCCAAATGTCCACTTGCAGAATCTACAAAAAGAGAGTTTCCAAACTGCTAAATCAAAGGGAAGATTCAACTGTGTGAGATGAATGCCAGCATCACAAAGATGTTTCTCAGAAATCTTCTTTCTAGTTTTTATGTGAAGATATTTCCTTTTCCACCATAGGCCTAAAAACGATTGCACACATCACAAAGAAGTTTCCCAGGATTCTTCTACCTAGTTTTTATTTGAAGATATTTCCTTTTC
>NC_000020.11:28861367-28867524 GCF_000001405.40 Homo sapiens
CTTCACATAAAAACTATGCAGAGCATTCTGAGAAACCACTTTGTGTTGCGTGCATTCATCTCACAGAGTAGAAGCTTTCTTTTGATTGAGCAGTTTTGAAACACTCTTTTTGTAGAATCTGCAAGAATATATTTAGAGCGATTTGAGGCCTATTGTGGAAAGGGAAATTTCTTCAAATAAAAACTACCCAGAAGCATTCTGTGAAACTTATTTGTGATGTGTGCTTTCAACTCACATTGTTGAACGTATCTGTTGATTGAGCAGTTTAGAATCTCTCTTTTTGTAGAATCTGCAAGTGAATATTTGGAACCCTATTTCGCCCTAGAGTGGAAAAGGAAATATCTTCAAATAGAAACTACACAGAAGCATTCAGAGAACCTTCTTTCTGATGAGTGCATTCATCACAGATTTGAACCTTTGTTTTCATTTAGCAGTTTTGAGACAATCTTTCCGTAGAAACTGGAAGTGAATATTTGGAGGGCTTTGAGTTCTGTTTTGGATAAAGGGATATCTTCATATAAAAACTACACAGAAGATTTCTGAGAAACACTTTTGTGAGGTGTGCACTGAAGTCAGAGTGTTGAACCTATCTTTTGATTCAGCAGTTTTGAATCTCTCTTTTTACAGAACCTGCGAGTGGATATTTGGAGCGCTTTGGGGCTTACTGTGGAAAATGAAATATCTTCACACAAAAACTTCACAGAAGCATCCTGAGAAACTTCTTTGTGATGTGTGCATTCATCTCACAGAGTTGAATGTCTCTGTTGATTGAGCAGTTTTGAAACACTCTTTTTGTAGAATCTGCAAGTAGATATTTGGAGTTCATTGGGGCCTACTGTGGAAACACAAATATCTTCACATAAAAACTACACAGAAGGCTGGGCGCGGTGGCTCACGCCTGTAATCCCAGCACTTTGGGAGGCCGAGGCGGGCGGATCACGAGGTCAGGAGATCGAGACCATCCTGGCTAACACGGTGAAACCCTGTCTCTACTAAAAAAAAATACAAAAAATTAGCCGGGCGTGGTAGCGGGCGCCTGTAGTCCCAGCTACTCGGGAGGGTGAGGCAGGAGAATGGCGTGAGCCCGGGAGGCGGAGCTTGCAGTGAGCCGAGATCGCGCCTCTGCACTCCAGCCTGGGCGAGAGAGCAAGACTCCGTCTCAAAAAAAAAAAAAAAAAAACTACACAGAAGCATTCTGAGAAACTTCTTTGTAATGGGTGCATTCATCTCACAGAGTTGAATGTCTCTGTTGAGTGAGCAGTTTTGAAACACTCTTTTTGTAGAATCTGCAAGTGGGTATTTGGAGCTCATTGGGGCCTACTGTGGAAAAACAAATATCTTCACATAAAAACTACACAGAAGCATTCTGAGAAACTTCTTTGTGATTTGTGCATTCATCTTACAGAGTTGAATCTTTCTTTTGATATAGCAGTTTTGAAACACTCTTTTTTTAGATTCTGCATGTGGATATTTGGAGCCTTTTCAGGCCTATGGTGGAGAAGGAAATATGTTCACATAAAAACTACGCAGAAGCATTCTGAGAAACTACTTTGTGATGTGTGCATTCATCTCACAGAGTAGAACCTTTAATTTGATTGAGCAGTTTTGAAACACTTTTTTTGTAGAATCTGCAAGTGGATATTTAGAGCGATTCATGGCCTATTGTGGAAAGGGAAATTTCTTCAAATAAAAACTACCCAGAAGCATTCTGTGAAACTTATTTGTGATGTGTGCATTCAACTCACATTGTTGATCGTATCTGTTGATTGAGCGGTTTAGAATCTCTCTTTTTGTAGAATCTGCAAGTGAATATTTGGAGCCCTATTTCACCCTATAGTGGAAAAGGAAATATCTCCAAATAGAAACTACACAGAAACATTCAGAGAACCTTCTTTCTGATGAGTGCATTCATCATAGGGTTGAACCTTTGTTTTGATTTAGCAGTTTTGAGACAATCCGTAGAATCTGGAAGTGAATATTTGGAGTTATTTGAGTTCTGTTTTGTCGAACGAGATATCTTCATATAAAAGCTACACTGAAGATTTCTGAGAAACACCTTTGTGAGGTGTGCATTGAAGTCACAGTGTTCAACCTATCTTTTGATTCAGCAGATTTGAATCTCTCTTTTTTTGCAGAATCTGTGAGTGGATATTTGGAGCGCTTTGGGGCCTACTGTGAAAAATCAAAAATCTTCATATAAAAACTATACAGAAGCATTTTGAGAAACTTCTTTGTGAGGTGTGCATTCAACTCATAGAGTTGAGCTTATCTTTTCTTTCAGAACTTTTATGTCTCTTTTTTTGTAGAATCTGCTAGTGGATATTTGGAGCTCTTTACACCTTATGGTGGATAAGGAATTATCTTCACATAAAAACTATGCAGAAGCATTCAGAGAAACTTCTTTGTTATGAATGCATTCCTCACACAGAGTTGGACCTTTGTTTTTATTGAGCAGTATTGAAACCCTCTTTTTGCAGAATCACCAATTGGATATTCAGGGAGAATTGAGGCCTGTTTTTGAAAATGAAATATCTTCAAGTTAAAACTACACAGAAGCATTCTGAGAAACTTGTTTGTGATGTGTACATTCAACTCTCAGTGTTGCTCCTATCTTATGATTTAGCAGTTTTGAAACATTCTTTTTGTAGAATCTGCAAGTGGATATTTAGAGCGATTTGAGGCCTATTGTGGAAAAGGAAATATCTTGTCATAAAAACTACACAGAAGCATTCTGAGAAACTTCTTTGGGAAGTGTGCATTCAACTAACAGTGTGGAACCTATCTTTTTGTTGAGCAGCTTAGAATCTCTTTTTGTAGAATCTGCAAGTGGATATTTGGAGCCCCATTTCGCCCTATCGTGGAAAACTAAATATCTTCACATAAAAACTACACAGAAGCATTCTGAGAAACTTCTTTGTGATGTTTGCATTCAACTCACAGAGTTGAACCTACCTTTTGATAGAGCAGTTTCGAATCTCTCTTTTTGCAGAATCTGCAAGTGTATATTTGGAAAGCTTTGAGGCCTATTGTGGAAAAGGAAATATCTTCACATAAATACTGCAGAGAAGCATTCTGAGAAACTTCTTTGTGAGGTGTGGATTCAAACCACAGAGTTGGACTTGTCTTTTCATTGAACAGTTTTGAATGTCTCTTTTTGTAGAATCTACAAGTGGATATTTGGAGCCCTTTGCAACCTGTGGTGGAAAAGGAAATAACTTCAAATAAAAACTACACAGAATCCTACACATAAACGTCTTTGTGATGAGTGCATTCATTCCACAGTGTTGAACCTTCCTTTTTACTGAGCAGTTTTGAAACACTATTTTTGCAGAATCAGCAAGTGGATATTTGGAGAGCTTTGATGCCTATTGTGGAAAAGGGAATATTTTCAAATAAAAACTACACAGAAACATTCTGAGAAACTACTTTGTGATGTGTGCATTGAACTCACAGTGTTGTACATGTCTTTTGTTTGAGCAGTTCTGAGTCTCTCTTTTTGTAGAATCTGCAAGTGGATATTTGGAGCCCTTTGCGGCCTATGGTTGAAAAGAAATATCTTCAAATAAAAACTAGACAGAAGGATTCTGAGAAACGTCTTTGTGATGTGTGCATTCAACTCACAGGGTTGAACCTTTCTTATGATTGAGCAGTTTTCAAAACCTCTTTTTGTAGAATCTGCAAATAGCTATTTGGAGCGCTTTGAGGCCTACTGTGGAAAAGCAAATATCTTCACCTAAAGACTACCTGGAGGCATTCTGAGAAACTTCCTTGTGATGTGTGCATTCATCTCACAGGGTTGAACTTTTCTTTTGATTTAGCAGTTTTGAAACACTCTTTCTGTAGAATCTGCAAGTGGATATTTGGAGCGATTTGAGGCCTATTGTGGAAAAGGAAATATCTTCACATAAAAACTACACAGAAGAATTCTGGGAAACTTCTTTTTTTTTTTTTTTTTTTTTTTTTTTTTTGAGATGGAGTCTCGCTCTGTTGCCCAGGCCGGACTGCGGACTGCAGTGGCGCAATCTCGGCTCACTGCAAGCTCCGCTTCCCGGGTTCACGCCATTCTCCTGCCTCAGCCTCCCGAGTAGCTGGGACTACAGGCGCCCGCCACCGCGCCCGGCTAATTTTTTGTATTTTTAGTAGAGACGGGGTTTCACCTTGTTAGCCAGGATGGTCTCGATCTCCTGACCTCATGATCCACCCACCTCGGCCTCCCAAAGTGCTGGGATTACAGGCCTGATGGGAAACTTCTTTGTGATGTGTGCTTCCAACTCACATAGTTGAACCTATCTTTTGATTGAAATTCTCTTTTTGTAGATTCGGCAAGTGGATATTTGGAGCCCTTTGCAACCTATGGTGGAAAAGTAAATATCTTCAAATAAATAATACACAGAAGCATTCAGAGAAACTTCTTTGTGGTGAGTGCATTCATCACAGAGAGTTGAATCTTTCCTTTGATTGAGCAGTTTTGAAACACTCTTTTTGCAGGATCTGCAGGCAGATATTTTAGAGCTTTGAGGCCAAATGTGGAAAAGGAAATATCTTCACATAAAAACTACACAGAAGCATTCTGAGAAACTTCTTTGTGATGTGTGCATTCAACTCTCAGTGTTGAACGTATCTTTTGATTCAGCAGTTTTGAATATCTGTTTTGTAGGATCTGCTAGTGTATATTTGGAGCCCTTTGTGGCCAATGGAAAAGGACATATCATCAAATAGAAACTACATAGAAGCATTCTGAGAAACGTCTTTGTGTTGTGTGCATTCATCTCACAGGGTTGAACACTTCCTTTCATGGAGCAGTTTTGAAACAGTATTTTTCCAGAACCTGCAAGTGGATATTTGGAGAGCTTTGAGACCTGTTGTAGAAAAGGAAATATGTTCAAATAAAAACTACACAGAAGTATTCAGAATTCAGAGAAACTTCTTTATGATGAGTGCATTCATCACAGACTTGAAACTTTCTTTTGATTGAGCAGTTTTGAAACTCTCCTTTTGTAGAAGATGGAAGTGGATATTTTGAAGTCTTTGAGGCTTATTTTGGAAACGGAAATATCCTCACATAAAAACTACACAGAAGCATTCTGACAAACTTCTCTGTTATGTGTTCATTCAACTCACAGTGTTGAACGAATTTTTTGATTGAGCAGTTTTCAGTCTCTCCTTTTGTAGTATCTGGAAGTGGATATTTGGAGCTCTTTGCACCTTGTGTTGGAAAAGGAAATATCTTCAAATAAAAACTACAAATAAGCATTCTGAGAAACTTCTTTGTGTTGAGTGCATTCATCACACAGAGTTGAAAGTTTCTTTTGATTGAGCAGTTTTGAAACACTCTTTTCATAGAATCTGGAAGTGGATATTTGGAGGGCTTTGAGGCCTATTTTGGAAAAGGAAATAACTTAAAAACTGCACAGAATTTTTCGGAGAAACTCCTTTGTTATGTGTGCATTCAACACGCAGAGTTGAGCCTATCTTTTGATTGAGCAGTTTTGAATCTCTCTTTTTGCAGAATCTGCAAGTGGATATTTTTGGTGCTATGAGGCCTATTGTGGAAAAGCAAATATTTTCAAATAAAAATTACACAGAAGCATTCTGAGAAACTTTGTTGTGAGGTGTGCATTCAACTCACAGAGTCGAACCCATCTTTTGATTGAGCAGTTTTGAATCTCTCTTTTTGCAGAATCTGCAAGTGGATATTTGGAGGGCTTTGTGGCCTATTGTGGAAAAGGAAATATCTTCACATAAAAACTACACAGAGGCTTTCTGGGAAACTTCTTTGTGATGTGTGTATTCAACTGACAGAGTTGTACTTATCTTTTGATTGAGCAGTTTTGAATCTCTCTTTTTGTAGAATCTCTAATTGGATATTTGGAGCAATTTGAGGCCTATTGTGGAAAAGGAAATATCTTCACATGAAAACTACACAGAGGCTTTCTGAGAAAATGATTTGCAATGTGTGCATTCAACTCAGAGTTGAACATATCTTTTGATTGAGCAGTTTTGAATCTCTCTTTTTGTAGCATCTGCAGGTGGAATTTTGGAGCCCTTTGTGGCCTATGTTGGAAAAGGAAATATCTTAAAATAAAAACTACACAGAATCATTCTGGGAAACATCTTTGTGATGAGTGCATTCATCACAAAGGGTTGAATCTTTCTA
>NC_000020.11:28868452-28875884 GCF_000001405.40 Homo sapiens
GTTTCTCAGAAATCTTCTTTCTAGTTTTTATGTGAAGATATTTCCTTTTCCACCATAGGCCTAAAAACGATTGCACACATCACAAAGAAGTTTCCCAGGATTCTTCTACCTAGTTTTTATTTGAAGATATTTCCTTTTCCACCATAGGCATCCAAGCTCTCCAAATGTCCATTTGCAGATTCTACAAAAAGAGAGTTTCAAAACTCCCAATCAAAAGAAATGTTTAAATTTTTGAGGTGAATGCACACATCAGAAAGAAGTTTCTCAGAAATCTACTGTCTAGTTTTTATGTGAAGATATTTCCTTTTCCATCATAGGCCTCAAGACACTCCAAACGTCCACTTGCTGATTCTTCAAAAAGAGAGTTTCAAAATTGCTCCATAAAAAGACAATTTTAACTCTGTGAGATGAATGCACACATCATAAAGTAGTTTCTCAGATTGCTTCTGTCTTGATTTAATGTGAAAATATTCCTTTTTATTCAATAAACTGCAAAGCTCTCCAAAAGTCCACTAGCAGCTTTGACAAAAAGACTGTTTCCATACTGCTCAAGAAAATAAAGGTTCAACTTTGTGGGATGAACGCACACATCACAAAGAAGTTTCTCAGAATTTTTCTGCCTATTTTTTATGTGAAGATATTTCCTTTTCCACCATAGGCCTCCAAGTACTCCAAATGGCCACTTGCAGATTCTACAAAAAGAGAGTTTCAGAACTGCTCAATCAAAGAAAGGTTTAGCTCTGTGAGATGAATGCACACATCACAAAAACTTTCTCAGATTGCTTTTGTCTAGATTTTAGGTGAAGACATTTCCTATTCCACCATAGGATGCAAAGTGTTACAAATGTCCACTTGAAGATTATACAAAAACAGTGTCTGCATACTGCTCAATCAAAAGAAAGATTCATCTCCATGAGATAAATGCACACATCACGAAGAGGTTTCTCAGAATTCTCCTCTCTAGTTTTTATGTGAGTATATTTTTTTCCGCCATAGACCTCAAAGCGCTTCAAATGTCCACTTGCAGATTCTACAAAAAGAGAGTTTCAAAACTGCTTAATCAAAAGAAAGGTTTAACTCTGTGGGATGAATGCACACATCTCAAAAAAGTTCCCCAGATTGCTTCTGTCTAGATTTTATGTGAAGATGTTTCCTTTTATACCATAGGCTGCAAAGCGCTCCAAATGTCCAATTGCAGATTCTACAAAAACAGTGTTTCCAAACTGCTCAATCAAAGCAAAGGTTGAACTTTGTGAGATGAATGCATACATCACAAACAAGTTTCTCAGAATTCTTCTGCCTATTTTTTATTTTAAGATATTTCCTTTTCCACCATGGGCCTCAAAGTGCTCCAAATGTCCACTTACAGATTCTACAAAAACACAGTCTCCATACTGCTCAATCAAAAGAAAGTTTCAACTCCGTGAGAGGAATTCACACATCATAAAGCGGTTTCTCAGAATTCTTCTGTCTTGTTTTTTTGTGAAGATATTTCCTTTTCAACCATACGCCTCAAAGTACTCCAAATGTCTGCTTGCGGCTTCTACAAAAAGAGAGTTTCCAAAATACACAATCAAAAAAATGGTTTAATTCTGTGAGTTGAATGCACACATCTCAAAGAAGCTTATCAGATTGCTTCTGTCTAGATTTTTTTACTACCATAGGCTGCAAAGCGCTCCAAATGTCCGATAGCAGATTCTACAAAAAGAATGTTTCCAAACTGCTCAGTCAAAGGAAAGGTTCTACTCTGCGAGATGAATGCACACATCACCAAGAAGTTTCTCAGAATTCTTCTGCCTAGTTTTTATGTTATTTCCTTTTCCACCATGGTCCTCAAAGCACTCCAAATGTAAGCTTGCAGACTCTACAAAAAGAGAGCTTTGAATCTCCTCAATCAAAGGAAAGTTTTAACTCTTTGAGGTTAATGCACACATCACAAAGGAGTTTCTCAGATTGCTTCTGTCTAGATGTTATGTGAGGATCTTACTTGTTCTGACATAGGCTGCAAAGTGCTCCAAATGTCCACTTGCAGAATCTACTAAAAGATTGTTTCCAAAATGCTGAATCAAAAGATAGGTTCAACTCGGTGAGATGTACCTACACATAACAGGGAAGTTTCTTAGAATTCTTCTATCTAGTTTTTATGTGAAGATATTTCGTTTTCTGCCATAGTCCTCAAAGCGCTTCAAATGTCCACTTGCATATTCTACAGAAAGAGAGCCTGAAAACTCCTCAATGAAAAGAAATATTTAACACAGTGAGATGAATGCACACATCGCAAATTAGTTTCTCAGATTGCTTCTGTCTAGATTTTATGTGAAGGTATTTCCTTTTTTAACATAGGCGACAAGGTGAACTAAATGTCCACTTGCAGATTCTACAGAAAGAGTGTTTCCAAACTGCTCTATCAAAAGAAAGGTTCAACTCTGTGAGGTAAATGCACACATCACAAAGAAGTTTCTCAGAATTCTTCTGTCTAGTATTTATGTGAAGATATTTCCTTTTCTACCATAGACCTCAAAGTGCTCCAAATGTCCACTTGCAGATTCTACAGAAAGAGAATTTCAAAACTGCTCAATCAAAAGAAAGGTTTAACTCTGTGAGATGAATACACACATAACAAAGAAGTTTCACAGATTGCTTTTGTCTAGATTTTTTGTGAAGATATTTTCTTTTCTGCCATTGGCCGCAAAGCACTCCAAATATGCACTTGCAGATTCTACAAAAACATTGTTTCCATACTGCTCAATCAAAAGAAAGTTTCAACTCCATGAGATGAACGCACATATCACAAAGAGGTTTCTCAGAATTCTTCTCTCTAGTTTTTATATGAAGATGTTTCCTTTTCCACCATAGGCCTCCAAGTACTCCAAACATCCACTTGCAGATTCTACAAAAAGAGAGTTTCAAAACTGCTCAATCAAAAGAAAGTTTTAACTCTGTGGGATGAATGCATACTTCTCAAAGAAGTTTCTCACATTGCTACTGTCTAGGTTTTAAGTGAAGATTTTTCCTTTTCTACCATAGGCCACAAAGCACTCCAAATGTCCAGTTGCAGATTCTACAAAAAGAGTGTTTCCAAACTGCTCAACTGAAGGAAAGGTTCAACTTTGTGAGATTAACGCACACATCACAAAGGAGTTTCTCAGAATTCTTCTGCCTATTTTTTATTTTAAGATATTTCCTTTTCCACCATGGCCACAAAGCACTCCAAATGTCCACTTGCGGATTCTACAAAAATAGTGTCTACATACTGCTCAATCAAAAGAAAGTTTCAACTCCGTGAGAGGAATGCACACAACACAAAGCAGTTTCTCAGAATTCTTCTGTCTTCTTTTTATGTGAAGATATTTCCTTTTCCATCATACACCTCAAAGTACTCCAAATGTCTGCTTGCGGCTTCTACAAAAAAGAGTTTCCAAACTGCTCAATCAAAAAAAAAGGTTTAACTCTGTGAGTTGAATGCACACATCTCAAAGAAGTTTCTCAGATTGTTTCTGTCTAGATTTTATGTGAAGATTTTTTTTTTTTACTACCATAGGCTGCAAAGCGCTCCACATATCCAATTGCAGATTCCACAAAAAGAGTGTTTCCAAACTGCTCAGTCAAAGGAAAGTTCTACTCTGTGAGATGAATGCACACATCACCAAGAAGTTTCTCAGAATTCTTCGGCCTAGTTTTTATGTTAACATGTTTCCTTTTCCGCCATGGTCCTCAAATCGTTCCAAATGTCCCCTTGAAGACTCTACAAAAAGAGAGCTTTGAATCTCCTCAATCAAAGGAAAGTTTTAACTCTCTGAGGTTAGTGCACACATCACAAAGGAGTTTCTCAGATTGTTTCTGTCTAGATATTATGTGAAGATCTTATCTGTTCTGACATAGGCTGCAAAGCGCTCTAAATGTCCACTTGCAGAATCTGCTAAAAGAATGTTTCAAAAATGCTGAATCAAAAGAAAGGTTCAACTCGGTGAGATGTACCTACAATTAACAGGGAAGTTTCTCAGAATTCTTCTATATAGTTTTTATGTGAAGATATTTCCTTTTCCACCGTAGTACTCAAAGCACTTCAAATGTCCACTTGCATATTCTACAGAAAGAGAGCCTGAAAACTCCTCAATGAAAAGAAATATTTAACACTGTGAGAGAAGTGCACACATCACAAAGTAGTTTCTCAGATTGCTTCTGTCTAGATTTTATGTGAAGGAATTTCCTTTTCTAACATAGGCCACAAGGTGCTCCAAATGTCCACTTGCAGATTCTACAAAAAGAGTGTTTCCAAACTGCTCTATCAAAAGTAAGGTTCAACTCTGTGATGTGAACGCACACATCACAAAGAAGTTTCTCAGAATTCTTCTGTCTGGTATTTATGTGAAGATATTTCCTTTTCCACCGTAGACCTCAAAGCGCTCCAAATATCCCCTTGCAGATTCTACAGAAAGAGAATTTCAAAACAGCTCAATCAAAAGAAAGGTTTAACACTGTGTGATGAATGCACACATCACAAAGATGTTTCCCAGATTGCTTTTGTCTAGATTTTATGTGAAGATATTTCCTTTTCTGCCATAGGCCAAAAAGCACTCAAAAAATGCACTTGCAGATTCTACAAAAACATTGTTTCCATACTGCTCAATCAAAATAAAGTTTCAGCTCTGTGAGATGAACGCACACATCACAAAGAGGTTTCTCAGAATTCTTCTCTCTAGTTTTTATGTGAAGATATTTCCTTTTCCACCATAGGCCTCCAAGTACTCCAAATGGCCACTTGCAGATTCTACTTATAGAGAGTTTCCAAACTGCTGAATCAAAAGAAAGGCTTAACTCTGTGAGATGAATTCACACATCTCAAAGAAGTTTCTCAGAATGCTTCTGTATAGATTTTATGTGAAGATATTTCCTTTTCTATATAGGCCACAAAGCACTCCAAACGTCCACTTGCAGAATCTACAAAAAGAGTGTTTCCAAACTGCTGAATCAAAAGAAAGTTTCACTCTGATGGAAGTTTCTTTTACTGTGCAGAAGCTCTTTAGTTTAATTAAATCCCATTTGTCAATTTTGGCTTTTGTTGCCATTGCTTTTGGTGTTTTAGACATGAAGTTCTTGCCCATGCCTATGTCCTGAATGGTAATGCCTACGTTTTCTTCTAGGGTTTTTATGGTTTCAGGTCCAAAGTTTAAGTCTTTAATCCGTCTTGAATTAATTTTTTATAAGGTGTAAGGAAGGAATCCAGTTTCAGTTTTCTACATATGGCTAGCCAGTTTTCCCATCACCATTTATTAAATAGGGAATCCTTTCCCCATTGCTTGTTTTTCTCAGGTTTGTCAAAGATCTGATAGTTGTAGATATGTGGCGTTATTTCTGAGGGCTCTGTTCTGTTCCATTGATCTATATCTCTGTTTTGGTACCAGTACCATGCTGTTTTGGTTACTGTAGCCTTGTAGTATACTTTGAAGTCAGGTAGCATGATGCCTCCTGCTTTGTTCTTATGGCCTAGGATTGACTTGTGATGCAGGCTCTTTTTTGGTTCCATATGAACTTTAAAGTAGGTTTTTTTCCAATTCTGTGAAGAAAGTCATTGGTAGCTTGATGGGGATGGCATTGAATCTATAAATTACTATGGCCTTTTTCACGATATTGATCCTTCCTACCCATGAGGATGGAATGTTCTTCCATTTGTTTGTATCCTCTTTTATTTCATTGAGCAGTGGTTTGTAGTTCTCCTTGCAGAGGTCCTTCAAGTCCCTTGTAAGTTGGATTCCTAGGTATTTTATTCTCTTTGAAGCAATTGTGAATGGGAGTTCACTCATGATGTGGTTCTCTGTTTTTCTGTTATTGGTGTGTAAGAATGCTTGCTACTTTTGTACATTGAGTTTGTATCCTGAGACTTTGCTGAAGTTGCTTATCAACTTAAGGAGATTTTGGGCTGAGACTATGGGGTTTTCTAGATATACAATCATGTCGTCTGCAAACAGGGAAAATTTGACTTCCTCTTTTCCTAAATGAATACACTTTATTTCCTTCTCCTGCCTAATTGTCCTGGCCAGAACTTCCAACACTATGTTGAATAGGAGTGGTGAGAGAGGGCATCCCTGTCTTGTGCCAGTTTTCAAAGGGAATGCTTCCAGTATTTGCCCATTCAGTAGGATATTGGCTGTGGGTTTGTCATAGATAGCTCTTATTATTTTGAGATATATCCCATCAATACCTAATTTATTGAGAGTTTTTAGCACGAAGGGTTGTTGAATGTTGTCAAAGGCTTTTTCTGCATTTGTTGAGATAATCATGTGGTTTTTGTCTTTGGTTTTGTTTATATACTGGATTACATTTATTGATTTGCAACCCACAAAATGGGAGAAAATTTTTGCAACCTAGTCATCTGACAAAGGGCTAATATCCAGAATCTACAATGAACTCAAACAAATTTACAAGAAAAAAACAAAGAACACCATCAAAAAGATGGTGAAGGACATGAACAGACACTTCTCAAAAGAATACATTTATGCAGCCAAAAAACACATGAAAAAATGCTCACCTTCACTGGCCATCAGAGAAATGTAAATCAAAACCATAATGAGATATCATCGCACACCCATTAGAATGGCAATCATTAAAAAGTCAGGAAACAACAGGTGCTGGAGAGGATGTGGAAAAATAGGAACACTTTTACACTGTTGGTAGGACTGTAAACAAGTTCATCCATTGTGGAAGTCCATGTGGCGATTCCTCAGGGATCTAGAACTAGAATTAACATTTGACCCAGCCATCCCATTACTGGGCATATACCCAAAGGACTGTAAATCATGCTGCTATAAAGACACATGCACACGTATGTTTATTGCAGCACTATTCACAATAGCAAAGACTTGGAACCAACCCAAATGTCCGACAATGATAGACTGGATTAAGAAAATGTGGCACATATACACCATGGAATACTATGCAGCCACAAAAAATGATGAGTTTATGTCCTTCGTAGGGACATGATGAAATTGGAAATCATCATTCTCAGTAAACTATCGCAAGAACAAAAAACCAAACACCACATATTCTCACTCATAGGTGAGAATTGAACAATGAGAACACATGAACACAAGAAAGGGAAGATCACACTCTTGGGACTGTTGTGGGGTCGGGGGAGGGGGGAGAAATAGCATTGGGAGATATACTTAATGCTAGATGACGAGTTAGTGGGTGCAGCGCACCAGCATGTCACATGTATACATATGCAACTAATTTGAATATTGTGCACATGTACCCTAAAACATAAAGTATACTAATAAAAAAAGGAAAGGTTCAACTCTGTGAGATGAATGCATACATCACAAAGAAGTTACTCAGATTGCTTCTGTCTAGATTTTATGTGAAGATATTTCCTTTTCTACCATAGGCCCCAAAGCGTTCCAAATGTGCACTTGCAGATTCTACAAAAAGAGTG
>NC_000020.11:28875904-28889198 GCF_000001405.40 Homo sapiens
AGTTTCTAAGAATTCTTCCATCTAGTTTTTATGTGGAGATATTTCCTTTCCCACTATAGGCCTCAAATCGCTCCAAACGTCCAATTGCAGATTCTACAAACAGAGAGTTTCAAAACACCTCAATCAAAAGAAATGTTTAACTCTCTGAGATGAATGCACACATCAGAAAAAGTTTCTCAGATTGCCTCTGTCTAGATTTTATGTGAAGATATTTCCTTTTCTGCCATAGGCCACAAATCGCTTCAAGTGTCTACATGCAGTTTCCAAACTGTTCAATCAAAAGAAAAGTTCAACTCTGTGAGATGAAAGCACACATCACAAAGAAGTTTCCCAGATTGCTTCTGTCTGGATTGTATGTGAAGGTATTTCCTTTTCTACCATAGGCCACAAAGTGTTCCAAATGTCCAACTGCAGATACTACAAAAAGAGTGTTTCCAATCTGCTCATTCAAAAGAAAGGTTTAACTCTGTGAGATAAATGAACACATCACAAAAGAGTTTCTGAGTTGTTTCTGTCTAGATTTTACATGAAGATATTTCCTTTTCTACCATAGGCCACAGAGCAGTCCAAATGTCCACTTGCAGATTGTACAAAAAGAGGGTTTCCAAACTGCTCCATCTAAAGAAAGTTTCAACTCTGTGAGATAAATTCACACATCACAAAGAAGTTTCTCAGAGTTCTTCTGTTTAGTTTTTCTGTGTAGATATTTCATTTTCCACCATAGTCCTCAAGGCGCTAGAAATGTCCAATTGCAGATTCTACAAAAAGAGTACTTCAAAACTAGTACATCAAAAGAAAGTTTCAACTCTGGGAGACGAAGGCACACATTACAAAGAAGTTTCCCAGAATGTTTCTATGTGGTTTTTATGTGAAGATATTTCCTTTTCCAACATAGGCCTCAAAGAGCTTCAAATGCCCACTTGCAGATTCTACAAAAAGAGGGTTTCAAAACTGCTCAAGAAAAACAAAGTTTTAACACTGTGAGATGAAAGCACACACCACAAAGTTTTTTAGATTGCTTGTGTCTAGATTTTATGGGAAGGTATTTCCTTTTCTACCATAGCCTGCTAAGCACTCCAAATATCCACTTCCAGATTCTACAAAGAGTGTTTCCAAACTGCATAATCAAAAGAAAGGTTCAGCTCTGTGGTATAAACGTACACATCACAAAGCAGTTTCTCAGCATTCTTCTGTCTAGTTTTTATGTGAAGATACTTCCTACTCCACCATAGGCCTCAAAGCGCTCCAAATGTCCACTTGCAGATTCCAGAGAAAGAGAGTTTCAAAACGGCTCAACCAAAAGAAAAGTTTAACTCTGTGAGATGAATGCACATATCACAAAGAAGTTTCTCAAATTGCTTCAGTCTAGATTTTATGTGAAGATATTGCCTTTTCTAACATAGGCCACAAAGCGCTCCAAATGTCCACTTGCAGATTCTACAAAAAGAGAGTTTCAAAACTGCTCCATCAAAAGAAAGACTCAACTATGTGAGATGAATGCCCACATCACAAAAAAGTTTCTCAGATTGATTCTGTGTAGATTTTATGTTGGATATTTCATTCTTTCTACCATAGGCCGCAAATCGCTCAAAATATCCACTTGCAGATTCTAAAAAAAGAGTGTTTTGAAACTGCTCTATCAAAAGAAAAGTTCACCTCTCTGAGATGAACGCACACATCAAGAAGAAGTTCGTCAGAATTATTCTATCTGGTTTTCATGTGAATATATTTCCTTTTCCATCATAGGCCTCAAAGACCTCCAAATGTCCACTTGTAGATTCTACAAAAGAGAGTTTCAAAACTGCTCAATCAAAAGAAATATTTAAATCTGTGAGATGAATGCACACATTGCAAAGAAGTTTCTCAGATTGCTTCAGTCTAGATTTTATGTGAAAATATTTCCTTTTCCATCATAGGTCACAAAGCGCTCCAAATGTCCACTTGCTGATTCTACATAAAGAGTGTTTCCAAACAGCTGAATAAATAGAAAGATTCAACTCCGTGAGATGAACGCACACATCACAAAGCAGTTTCTCAGAATTCTTCTGTCTAGTTTTTACGTGAAGATATTTCCTTTTCAACCATACGCCTCAAGGCGCTCAAAATGTCCACTTGCACATTCTATAAAAAGAATATTTCAAAACTGGTCCTTTGAAAGAATATTTCAGCTCTGGGAGATGAATGCACACATCACAAAGAAGTTTTTCAGAATGCTTCTATCAAGTTTTTATGTGAAGATATGTCCTTTTCTACCATAGGCCTAAAAGTGCTCCAAATGTACACTTGCAGATTCTATAAAAAGAGAGTTTCAAAGCTGCTCAATCAAAAGAAAGGGTTAACTCTGTGAGATAAATGCACACATCACAAAGAAGTTTTTCAGATTGCTTCTTTCTATATTTGATGTGTAGATATTTCCTTTTTACCATTGGCTGCAAAGCGCACCAAATGTTCATTTGCAGATTCTACAAAAAGAGTTTTTCCAAACTGCTCAATCAAAAGAAAGGTTCAACTCCGTGAGATGAACACACACATCACAAAGAAGTTTTCCAGAATTCTTCTATCTAGTTTTTATGTGAAGATATTTCCTTTTCCACCACAGGTATCAAAGTGTTCCAAATGTCCACTTGCAGAATCTAGAAATAGAGATTTTCAAAACTGCTCAACCAAAAGAAAGGTTTAACGCTCTTAGATGAATGCACACATCACAAAGAAGTTTCTCAGATTGCTTCTGTCTAGATTTTATGTGAAGATATTTCCTTTTCTAACATAGGCCACAAAGCGTTCCAAATGTCCACTTGCAGTTTCTACAAAAAGAGTGTTTCCAAACTGCTCAATCAAAAGAAAGTTTCAATTCTGTGAGATGAATGCACACATCATGAAGAAGTTTCTCAGAATTCTTCTGTCTAGTTTTTATGTGAACATATTTCCTTTTGCACCATAGGCTTCAAAGGGCTCCAAATGTCCACTTGAAGATCCTACAAAAAGAGAGGTTCAAAAATGATCAATCAAAAGAAATGTGTAACTCTCTGAGATGAATGCACACATCACAAATAAGCTTCTCACATTGTTTCTGTCTAGATTTTATGTGAAGTTATTTACTTTTCTCCCATAGGACACAAAGAGTTCTAATTGCCCACTTGTAGATTCTACAAAAAGAGTATTTACAAATTGCGCAATGAAAAGAAAGACTCAACTCTCTGAGATGAACGCACACATCACAAAGAAGTTTATTAGAATTCTTCTGTTTAGTTTTTATGTGATAGTATTTCCTTTTCCAACATAGGACTCAGAGTGCTCCAAAAGTCCACCTGCAGATTCTGCAGAAAGAGAGTTTCTAAAGTGCTCAATCAAAAAAAAAAAGGTTTAACTCTGTGAGATGAATGCACACATTACAAAGAAGTTTCTCATATTGCTTCGGTCTAGAGTTTATGTGAAAATATTTCCTTTACTTTTTGATGGGGTTGTTTGTTTTTTTCTTGTAAATTTGTTTGTGTTCATTGTAGATTCTGGTTATTAGCTCTTTGTCAGATGAGTAGGTTGCGAAAATTTTCTCCCATTTTGTAGGTTGCCTGTTCACTCTGATGGTAGTTTCTTTTGCTGTGCATAAGCTCTTTAGTTTAATTAGATCCCATTTGTCAATTTTGGCTTTGGTTGCCATTGCTTTTGGTGTTTTAGACATGAAGTCCTTGCCCATGCCTATGTCCTGAATGGTAAAGCCTAGGTTTTCTTCTAGGGTTTTTATGGTTTCAGATCTAACGTTGAAGGCTTTAATCCATCTTGAATTGATTTATGTATAAGGTGTAAGGAAGGGATCCAGTTTCAGCTTTCTACTTATGGCTAGCCAGTTTTCCCATCACCATTTATTAAATAGGGAATCCTTTCCCCATTGCTTGTTTTTCTCAGGTTTGTCAAAGATCAGATAGTGGTAGATATGTGGCATTATTTCTGAGGGCTCTGTTCCGTTCCATTGATCTATATCTCTGTTTTGGTACCAGTACCATGCTCTTTTGGTTACTGTAGCCTTGTAGTATAGTTTGAAGTCAGGTAGTATGATGCCTCCAGCTTTGTTCTTTTGGCTTAGGATTGACTCGGTGATGCCAGCTCTTTTTTGGTTCCATATGAACTTTAAAGTAGTTTTTTCCAATTCTGTGAAGAAAGTCATTGGTAGCTTGATGGGGATGGCATTGAATCTGTAAATTACCTTGGGCAGTATGGCCATTTTCACGATATTGATTCTTCCTACCCATGAGGATGGAATGTTCTTCCGTTTGTTTGTATCCTCTTTATTTCCTTGAGCAGTGGTTTGTAGTTCTCCTTGAAGAGGTCCTTCACATCCCTTGTAAGTTGGATTCCTAGGTATTTTATTCTCTTTGAAACAATTGTGAATAGGAGTTCACTTATGATTTGGCTCTCTGTTTGTCTGTTGTTGGTGAATAAGAATGCTTAAAGTGGGCTAAGGACATGAACAGACACTTCTCAAAAGAAGACATTTATGCAAGCAAAAAAAACATGAAAAAATGCTCACCATCACTGGCCATCATAGTAATGCAAATCAAAACCACAATGAGATATCATCTCAAACCAGTTAGAATGACAATCATTAAAAAGTCAGGAAACAACAGGTGCTGGAGAGGATGTGGAGAAATAGGAACACTTTTACATTGTTTGTGGGACTCTAAACTAGTTCAACCATTGTGGAAGTCAGTGTGGCGATTCCTCATGGATCTAGAACTAGAAATACCATTTCACCCAGCCATCCCATTACTGGGTATATACCCAAAGGACTATAAATTATGCTGCTATAAAGACACATGCATATGTATGTTTATTGTGGCACTATTCACAATAGCAAAGACTTGGAACCAACCCAAATGTCCAACAATGAAAGGCTGGATTAAGAAAATGTGGCACATATACACTATGGAATACTATGCAACCATAAAAAATGATGAGTTCATGTTCTTTGTAGGGACATGATGAAATTGGAAATCATCATTCTCAGTAAACTATCAAAAGAACAAAAGACAAAACACCACATATTCTCACTCATAGGTGGGAATTGAACAATGAGAACACATGGACACAGGAAGGGGAACATCACACTTTTGGGCCTGTTGTGGGGTGGGGGGAAGGGGGAGGGACAGCATTGGGAGATATATCTAATGCTAGACGATGAGTTAGTGGGTGCCGCACACCAGCATGTCACATGTATACATATGTAACTAACATGCACATTGTGCACATGTACCCTAAAACTTAAAGTATAATAATAAAAAATAATTAAAAAAAAGAAAATATTTCCTTTTCTACCATAGGCCACAAAGCGCTCCAAATGTCCACTTGCCGATTCTACATAAAGAGTGTTTCCAAACTGCTGAATAGAAAGAAAGTTTCAATTCCCTGAGATGAACGCACACATCACAAAGCAGTTTCTCAGAATTCTTCTGTCTAGTTTTTATGTGAAGATATTTCCTTTACAACCATACGCCTCAAGGCACTCGAAATGTCCACTTGCACATTCTATAAAAAGAATATTTCAAAACTGGTCCTTCAAAAGAATGTTTTAACTCTGGGATATGAATGCAAACATTACAAAGTAGTTTGTCAGAATGCTTCTATCAAGTTTTTATGTGAAGACATTTCCTTTTCTACCATAGGCCTAAAAGTGCTCCAAATGTACACTTGCAGATTCTATAAAAAGAGAGTTTCAAAACTGCTCAATCAAAAAAAAAAAAAAGAGTTAACTCTGTGAGATGAATGCATACATCACAAAGAAGTTTCTCAGATTGCTTCTTTCGAGATTTGATGTGTAGATATTCCCATTTTACCTTTGGCCGCAAAACGCACCAAACGTTCATTTGCAGATTCTACAAAAAGAGTTTTTCCAAACTGCTCAATCAAAAGAAAGGTTCAACTCCGTGAGATGAACACACACGTCACAAAGAAGTTTCCCAGACTTCTGTCTAGTTTTTATGTGAAGATATTTCCTTTTCCATCGCAGGTCTCAAAGTGCTCCAAATGTCCACTTGCAGATTCTACGAAAAGAGATTTTCAAAACTGCTCAACCAAAAGAAATGTTTAACTCCGTTAGATGAATGCACACATCAAAAAGAAGTTTCTCAGATTGCTTCTGTCTAGATTTTATGTGAAGATATTTCCTTTTCTAACATGGGCCACAAAGCGTTGCAAATGTCCACTTGCAGACTCTACAAAAAGAGTGTTTCCAAACTGCTCAATCAAAAGAAAGTTTCAATTCTGTGAGATGAACGCACACATCATGAAGAAGTGTCTCAGAATACTTCTGTCTAGTTTTTATGTGAAGATATTACCTTTTGCACCATAGGCCTCAAAGGGCTCCAAATGTCCACTTGAAGATCCTACAAAAAGAGAGGTTCAAAAATGATCAATCAAAAGAAATGTGTAACTCTCTGAGATGAATGCACACATCACAAATAAGCTTCTCACATTGTTTCTGTCTAGATTTTATGTGAAGTTATTTACTTTTCTACCATAGGCAGCAAAGTGTTCTAATTGTCCACTTGTGGATTGTACAGAAAGAGTATTTCCAAACTGCTCAATCCAAAGAAAGACTCAACTCTGTGAGATGAACGCACACATCACAAAGAAGTTTCTTAGAATTCTTCTGTTTAGTTTTTATGTGATGGTATTTCCTTTTCCAACATAGGATTCAGAGTGCTCCAAAAATCCACCTGCAGATTCTGCAAAAAGAGAGTTTCTAAAGTGCTCAATCAAAAGAAAGGTTTAATTCAGTGAGATGAATGCACATATTACAAAGAAGTTTCTCAGATTGCTTCAGTGTAGATTTTATGTGAAAATATTTCCTTTTCTATCATAGGCCACCAAGCGCTCCAAATGTCCACTTGCCGATTCTACATAAAGAGTGTTTCCAAACTGCTAAATCAAAAGAAAGGTTCAATTCCGTGAGATGAACGCACACATCACAAAGCAGTTTCTCAGAATTCTTCTGTCTAGTTTTTATGTGAAAATATTTCCTTTTCAATCATATGCCTCAAGGCACTCGAAATGTCCACTTGCACATTCTATAAAAAGAGTATTTCAAAACTGGTCCTTTGAAAGAATGTTTCAACTCTGGGAGATGAATGCACACATCACAAAGAAGTTTGTCAGAATGCTTCTATCAAGTTTTTATGTGAAGACATTTCCTTTTCTACCGTAGGCCTGAAAGTGCTCCAAATGTCCACTCGCAGATTCTATAAAAAGAGAGTTTCAAAACTGCTCAAAAGAAAGGGTTAGCTCTGTGAGATGAATGCACACATCACAAAGAAGTTTCTCAGATTGCTTCTTTCTAGATTTGATGTGTAGATATTCCCTTTTTACCATTGGCCGCAAAGCGCACCGAATGTTCATTTGCAGATTCTACAAAAAGAGTTTTTCCAAACTGCTCAATCAAAAGAAAGGTTCAACTCAGTGAGCTGAACGCACACATCACAAAGTAGTTTCCCAGAATTCTTCTGTCTAGTTTTTATGTGAAGATATTTCCTTTCCCACCACAGGTCTCAAAGTGCTCCAAATGTCCGCTTGCAGATTCTACGAAAAGAGATTTTCAAAACTGCTCAATCAAAAGATAGTTTTAACTCTCTTAGATGAAAACACACATCACTAGCAAGTTTCTCAGGTTGCTTCTGTCTGGATTTTTTGTGAAGATATTTTCTTTCCTACCATAGGCCCCAAAGAACTCCAAATGCCCACTTGCAGATCCACAAAAAGAGTGTTTCCAAACTGCTCAATCAAAAGAAAGGTTCAACTCTGTGAGATGAACGCACACATCACAAAGAAGTTTCTCAGAATTCTTCTGTCTAGTTTTTATCTGAAGATATTTTCATTTCCACCAGAGGCCTTGAAGCCCTCCAAATATCCACTTGCAGATTCTACAAAAAGAGAGTTTCAAAACTTCTCAATCAAAAGAAAGCTTTAACACTCTGAGGTGAATGCACACATCACAAAGAAGTTTCTCTGATTTCTTATGTCCAGATTTTATGTGAAGATAGTCCCTTTGCTACCATAGGTGGCAAAGCACTCCAAATGTCCACTTGCAGATTCTACAAAAAGACAGTTTCCAAACTTCTCAATCTAAAGAATGGTTCAACTCTGTGAGACGAACACACACATCACATAGAAGTTGCTCAGAATACTTCTCTCTAGTTTTTTTGTGAGGATATTTCATTTTCCACAATAGGCCTCAAGGTGCTCAAAATGTCCACTTGCAGATTCAACAAAAAAAGTATTTCAAAACTGATCCATCAAAAGAAAGCTTAAATTCTGGGAGATGAATGCACACATCATGAAGAAATTTCTCAGATTTCTTCTGTGTAGATTTTATGTGAAGATATTTCCTTTTCTACCATAGGCCACAAAGCACTCCAAATCTCCACTTGCAGGTTCTAAAAATGTAGTGTTTCCAAACTGCTCATTGAAAAGAAAGGTTCAACTCTGTAAGATGAACGCACACATAACAAGGAAGTTTCTCAGAATTCTTCTGTCTGGTTTTTATGTGAAGATATTTTCTTTTCCACCATAGGCCTCAAGGCGCTTGAAATGTCCACTTGCAGATTCTACAAAAAGTGTATTTCAAAACTGGTCCTTCAAAAGAAAGGTTCAACTCTTGAGATGAATGCACACATCACAAAGAAGTTTCTCAGAATATTTCTATCTGGTTTTTATGTGAAGATATTTCCTTTTCCACCATAGGCTTCAAATCACACCAAATGTCCACTTACAGATTCTACAAAAAGAGAGTTTCAAAACTGCTCAATCAAAAGAAAGGTTTAACTCTGTGAGATAAATGAACACATCACAAGGAAGTTTCTCAGATTGCTTCTGTCTAGATTTTATGTGAAGATATTTCCTTTTCCAGCATAGGCCTCAAGGTGCACGAAATGTCCGCTTGCAGATTCTTCAAAAAGAGGATTTCAAAAGTGGTCCTTCAAAAGAAAGATTCAAATTTGAGATATGAATGCACACATCACAAAGAGGTTCCTCAGAATGCTTCTGTCCAGTTTTTATGTGAAGATATTTTCTTTTTCACCATAGGCCTCAAGACGCTCGAAATGTCCACTTGCAGATTATACAAAAAGAGTATTTCAAAACTGGTCCTTCAAAAGAAATGCTCAACTCAGGGAGATGAATGCACATATCATAAGGAAGTTTCTCAGAAAGCTTCTACCTGGTTTTCATTTGAAGATATTTCCTTTTACACCATAGGCTTGAAAGTGCTCCAAACGTCCACTTGCAGATTCTACAAAAAGAGAGTTTCAAAACTGCTCCATCAGAAGAAAGGTTCAACTCTGTATGATGAACGTACGAATCACAAAGAAGTTTCTCAGAATTCTTCTGTTTAGTTTTCATGTGAAGGTATTTCCTTTTCCACTATAGACCGCATATCACTCCAAATGTCCAGTTGCAGAATCTACAAAAAGAGAGTTTCAAAACTGCTTCATCAAAAGAAATGTTTAACTCTGTGAGGTGAATGCACACATCAGAAAGAAGCTTCTCAGATTGCTTCTGTCTAGATTTTATGTGAAGACATTTCCTTTGTTACCATAGGCTGCAAAGCGCTCCAAATGTCCACTTGCAGATTCTACAAAAAGAGTGTTTGAAAACTGCTCAATCAAAAGAAAGGTTCAACTCTGTGAGATGAACGCACACACCACAAAAAAATTTCTCAGATTTCTTCTGTCTTGTTCTTATGGGAAGATATTTCCTTTTCCACCATAGGCCTTAAAGCACTCCCAATTTCTTATTGCAGATTCAACAAAAAGAGTTTCAGAACTGCTCAATGAAAAGGAAGGTTTCACTCTCTGAGATGAATGCACACATCACAAAGAAGTTTCTCAGATTGCTTCTCTCTAGATTTTATGCAAAGATATTTCCTTTTCCACCGTAGGCCTCAAAGCGCTCCAAATGTCCACTTGCAGATTCTACCAATAGTGCATTTCCAAAATGCTCAATCAAAGGAAGTTTTAAGTATGTGAGATGAATGCACACATCGCAAAGAAGTTTCTCAGTTTGCTTCTGTCTAGATTTTATGTGAAGATGTTTCCTTTTCTACCAAAGGCCTCAAAGCTCTCAAAGTGTCCACCTGTAGATTCTACAAAAGGAGTATTTCAAAACTGCTCAATCGAAAAATCTCCAACTCTGTGAGATTCATGGATACATCACAAAGAATTTTCTCAGAATGCTTCTGTCTAGTTTTCATGTGAAGCTATTTCCTTTTCCAAAAAAGGCCTCAAAGCACTCCAAATATCCACTTGCAGATTCTAAAAAAGAATGTTTCAAAACTGCTCAACATAAGAAAATTTCAACTCTGTCACTTGAATGTACACATGACAAAGGAGTTGCTGAGAATGTTTCTGTCTAGTTTTTATGTGAAGATATTACCTTTTCCACTATAGGCAGTATAGCACTCCAAATGTCCGCTTGCAGATTCTACAAAAAGAGTGTTTCCAAACTGCTCAATCAAAAGAAAGTTTCGAGTCTGTGAGGTGAGTGCACACATCATAAGGAAGTTTCTCAGAATGCTTCTGTCTAGTTTTTATTTGAAGATATTTCCTTTTCCACCATAGACCTCTAAGCGTTCTAAATGACCAATTGCAGATTCTACAAATGAGTTTTTCAAAACTGCTCAATCAAAAGAAAGGTTCAACTCTTTAAGATGAATACACATATCACAAAGAATTTTCTCAGAATGATTATATCTTGTTTTTATGTGAAGATATTTCCTTTTCCACCATAGGCCCCAAAGCGATCCAAATGTACACTTTCAGATACTACAAAAAGAGTGTTCCAAAACTGCTCAATCAAAAGAAAGTTTCACCTTTGTGAGATGAATGCACACATCACAAAGAAGTTTTTCAGAATGTTTCTGTAGAGATTTTATGTTAAGATATTTACTTTTCCACCATAGACCTCATAGCACTCCAAATGTCCACTTGCAGGGTCTACCAAAAGAGTGTTTCAAAGCTACTCAATCAAAAGAAAGTTTCAACTCTGTGAGATGAATGCACACATCACAAAGTAGTTTCTCAGAATGCTTCTATTTATTATGTGAAGATATCTCTTTTTCCAACTTAGGTCTTAAAGCACTCCAGACGTCCACCTGCAGATTCTACAAAAAGAATGTTTCAAAACTGCTCAATCGAAAGTAAAGTTCCACTCTGTGAGTTGAATGCACACCTCACAAAGAAGTTTGTCAGAATTCTTCTGTCTAGTTTTATGTGAAGATATTTCCTTTTCCACCATAGGCCTGAAAGCGCTCCAAATGACCAATTGCAGATTCTAAAAATGAGTTTTTCAAAACTGCTCAATCGAAAGAAAGGTTCAACTCTCTAAGATGAATGCACATATCACAAAGAATTTTCACAGAATGATTCTGTCTAGTTTTTATGTGAAGATATTTCCTTTTCCACCATAGGCCCCAAAGCGATCCAAATGTACACTTTCAGATACTACAAAAAGAGTGTTCCAAAACTGCTCAATCAAAAGAAAGTTTCAGCTTTGTGAGATGAATGCACACATCACAAAGAAGTTCCTCAGAATATTTCTGTAGAGATTTTATGTTAAGTTATGTACTTTTCCACCATAGACCTCATAGCACTCCAAATGTCCACTTGCAGGGTCTACCAAAAAAGTGTTTCAAAGCTGCTCAATCAAAAGAAAGTTTCAACTCTGTGAGATGAATGCACACATCACAAAGTAGTTTCTCAGAATGCTTCTATTTATTATGTAAAGATATCTCATTTTCCAACTTAGTTCTCAAAGCACCCCAGATATCCACCTGCAGATTCTACAAAAAGAGTGTTTCAAAACTGCTCAATTGAAAGTAAAGTTCAACTCTGTGAGATGAATGCACACCTCACAAAGAAGTTTGTCAGAAATCTTCTGACTAGTTTTTATGTGAGGATATTTCCTTTTCCACCATAGTCCTCAAAGCGCTCCAAATGTCCTATTGTAGATTCTACAACAAGAGTGTTTCAAAACAGTTCAGTCAAAACTAAGGTTCACTTCTGTGAGATGAATGCACACATCACAAAGAAGGTTTTCAGAATGCTTCCGTCTAGCACTTAAGTGAAGATATTTTCTTTTCCACCATATGCCTCAAAGCTCTCCAAATATCCTCTTGCAAATTCTACAAAATGTGTTTCAAAACTGATCAATCAAAAGAAAGTTCCAACTCTGTCAGGTGAATGCACACATCCCAAAGAAGTTTGTCAGAATGATTCTGTCTAGTTTTAATGTGAAGATGTTTCCTTTTCCACACTAGGCCTCACAGTACTCAAAATGTCCACCTGCAGATTCTGCAAAAATAGTTTTTCCATACTGCTCAATCAAAAGAAAATTTCAACACTGTGAGGTGAATGCACACATCACAGATAAGTTTATCAGAATGCTTCTGTCTAGTTTTTATGTGATGATATTTCCTTTTCCACCGTAGGCCTGAAAACTCTCCAAATATACACTTGCAGATTCTACAAAAACGTGTTTCAAAACAGCTCAATGAAAAGAAAGTTTCAAATCTGTGAGATGAATGCACACATCACAAAGAAGTTTGTCAGAATGTTTCTGTATAGTTTTTATATGAAGATATTCCCTTTTCCACCATAGGCTTCGAAGCACTCCAAATTTCCACATGCAGATTGTACAACGTGTTTCAAAGCTGTTCAATCAAATCAAAGGTTCAAACCTGTGAGATGAATGCACACATCACAAAGAAATTTGTCAGAATGCTTCTGTCTAGTTATTGTGAAGATATATCCTTTTCCATCATAGGTCTCAATGCACGCCAAATGTCCACTTACAGATAGTATAAAAAGGGTGTTTCAAAACTGCTGAATCAAAAGAAAGTTTCAACTCTTTGAGATGAATGCACATATCACAAAGAAGTTTGTCAGAATGCTTCTATCTAGTTTTCATGTGAAGATTTTTTTTAAATATGCCTCAAATCCCTCCAAATGTCCACTTGCAAATTCTACAAAAAGAGTGTTTCCAAACTGCTCAATAAAAAGTAAGATTCAACTCTGTGAGAAGAACGCACACATCACAAAGAAGTTTCTCAGAATGCTTCTGTCTAGGTTTTATGTAAAGATATTTACTTTTCCACCATAGGCCTCAAAGTGCTCCAATCCACTCCAATGCATTCCATTCTGTCCCATTCCATTCCACTCCATACCACTCCACTCCACCCCACTGCACTCCATCCCACTCCATTCCATTCCGTTCCATTCCATTCATTTATTTTGACAGGATCTAACTCTGT